>NC_000014.9:30217773-30520803 GCF_000001405.40 Homo sapiens | reverse complement strand
ATATCCTCGCATATAATCCAAATGTTCATTTTCAAATCCATTCATGTTCAACGAAGTGTGTGATTTTTCTATTCAAGTTAAAGAAAGCCAGATTGAGAATTTATCTAAATTCAGTTAATTATATTTGGTCAAGCATTGTCCTTGGCACAAATATTCTCCAGATCTAAAATTTTTGTACTTTTAATCAGCTATGGCTACAGAGGTCATTGGCTGCAAAAATAGAAATTTTAATTACCTCAGCATACCATGCTATAACTAGACCTTTATATTTTGTGTTGTTTCTTCCTGTCCAAATAAATGGTTGGGTTTATGCAACAAATGTATCCTACAGAGGTAAAACAGGGACAAACAACATGGAACAGTTCAGTGAAATTAATTTGTATCTTAATGGAGCTTTGTGAAAGTTTAGAGCTTCATTTCTGAATGGTAAGTAGCTGCTGTCAGCCATTTGCATTGTATCTCTTATGGCACAGTCATCATTTGGGCTGGGTAGCTTCACCACCATCCAATTAATTTTTAAAATTATACCACAAGGAATTGACACATTGTCTTGATGCATTTATATCCGTGATCTTGGAGCTTTGATGCCTCACTTACCACCACCCTCCCCAACTTGTGAGAAAGACTTCTCTCCTTTGTAAAGGCAGGGATGTGAGACAGAAAAGAAGCAGGCAGAATTTTTACACCTCCTCTTGTCAGTCTGGATGATTCACTAAGCTTGGTAGGCTGTATGCCCTGTATCAATACAATTACATAATCATTACCTGTAAGTTAAATTACTTCACACACCCACTGGCAAAAATGTAACAATAAAGCTATTTTTATGATTTTTCCCCTTCAAAGTAATTATATATAGTTGAGAAACTAAACTACATTCAAACTAATGTAACTTCAAACATTACCTTTCCCCTTATAAAACTTTTTGCTCTTCTTACCTTGTACTGTACTGAGTTTAAAAACAGAAAAAGAAAAAGAAAAACTAGGTATAGTGGAGAGAAAAATTGTTCAGCTATTCAGCAGATAAATTCAGAAAAAAAATAATGGAAACTGGTAGCATTTCCACACTGCCTAATAGGTAGTAGGTGCCCAAAAAGCACCCATTTAAATAATGTTAAATACATACGTTTCTTTCAAAGTGACTGGAAAAATGCCCAGATTTCCAAGAATAAAAGTGTACATAGAGGATCATTTTTTGACAATAAATGCAAGCATCAGAAAAATTTCCATGAATTAAGGGAAATAAAGATGACTTTATGATTTTATAATTAGCTAGTTTTGAAAATTAGTGTGTCTAACTTCTGGGCATTTAAAAGATTTAGTGATAGAAGAGGAAGCCATGTAACCTCAAAGGGCACGGGTTTGAATCCAACACAGGTTGTCACAGAAAGTTGATACCACTTGACAACTGCTTTGTGAAATGAGCTGGTCTCAGTCCAGTGGACAGATGTCCATATCACAAAATACTCTAATTGGCAGTCTTTGCAGAGGAGCCAAGAATTGAATGGGCCTGGAATCTGAACCCTCTTCTCACTCTTTAGAGGGGCAGACAGAGGTAAACTCATAAAGGAAGCTTAGAATTGCTGGTGGCAATCATATATATGTTTTATGGATAAACAGAGGACTTTGTGTTTCAAAGCTGTCAGTCTAATTTTTCAATACATCGAAGTACTTTTAATAAGGCCCTCTTAAGCAGATGAAAGTGTTTATTTTTGCTGTAAATTTATTATTGCAAGCTTGCATATTGTTAAAGAAAAAACAGAGTTAGACAGTAAAGTGGTAAGAACAGATTTTATTTGGGAATGATTGCAGTAGGAGAAAAGAGACCTCAGTATAGAACCGGACTCAATTCTGAACACAGCACGGACAAGTGGGGACTTACAGTTGGATAGGGCTCAGTGGATGGAAAATTACTAAGAGGAAGCATCAGAGGTAAGGGGGGATTCTGGCTAAACCAATGGACCTGAAGGCAGGCCAGAGTGATCTGATATCACTTGGGGGATGGTTTGGGTATGAGGAATTTGCTCAGATATCCAGGTGATCAGATATTGAGGGCACAGATTCTCACTAAACTGACTTGGCAGCATTTTTGCTGAAACTGGGTGATACAAAGATGGACATAGAAGTGCAAAGGTTGAGGCCTAGCAGAGGAGAGGATTCAAAGGAGTCTGATTCAAGTTTGGTCACGGAGGCAGTTTTTGTCAATATCCTGCATTTTTCATATAAAATGTGTACTGTTGTTGGATTTAAAGACTATCACTAGTCAGCTAAAAATATCACACATGCCATGAAAACTGGCAAGTAAAATTCGGTAAATACTTGAACTTAGAATATTTTGCCTGTGGCTCAAAATGAGCCCAATCTGCTATAGCTTGTGTGCCACATTGAAGCAGACATTCCCAAAACCGGAGAAATCAGAGGGACTGAATTACTGGACATATCTTTTTTAGAATTAATGACATAGCAATAGGCTTGATAAGGGTCTTTATGCTGGATGGTGACAAATAACTGCCCACCCGATATGATTTTAGCAGCTATGAGAATGCCTACTGTCCCCACAAGCTTGAAATTCCAGGCCTGAAGCATTATTGTTTAACTTTGGTTTTGATTTCCTCAGGAGAAGTTGTTTTCCAAACCATGATTCACAGAAAACTACTAGTTTTATAGGTGTTCTTCTAAAAACCAAAACAAAATCCCCAAATCACTAAAACCCCCACATATTAGAAATGTATATGTGTCTATGTGTGTTTGAGGTGGGGATTCCATGGTTACATAAATTTGGGAAACATTTGGTTAAGTAATGTTAAGCAGATTTATTTATGTGGAATTCGAAGAGCCTTTAATGTTCAAATGTGTCTGTTGACTCTCAAAGAAGGCAGAATATGCAGCATTTTATATAACACATATTAACATTGCAGGAAACTAGTGTTCCCAAGAACACAGATTGAGAAATGCTCTTCTTAGTCATGTAGAGTTGAGTGTTCGCTAATTGCTAATTATTACCTGATAGCAGGATTTTCAAAGGAAAGGGGGAATGTAGGTAGAATCTGTTACCAACAGTTATTGGAGACTAATGGTTTTTCCACAATTTTGCTGCCATCACAACACTGTTAAAAAATAAAATCTTCCTCAGAATGGAAAATAGTTTGCTCTTTGAGAAGTTGGGTGGATTCTCAGTAGTGTGTTGCTCTTGGTAAACTATTCTCAGTAAATCATGGGGGCAGTACAATTTCCTGCCACATTCAAATCCTCAGAAGTTCTAATGGTGGCATCAATGGACCATACATGGTTTATAATGGGCTTTGATGTGTCCAATAATTTCTTGAAATAATAGAGAAAAGGTAGGATTTTATTTCCCCTGTTTTCTATTCTATGCCAGTTATGTGAAGCATTTTTATTGTTTTGGGGGCTCCAAGACAAATTAGATTCTCAAGGAAACTCTATTATTATTAATGTCATCAGCTAATGTCTTAGTCTGTTTTAGCTGCTACAACAAAATCAGAGGCCTTTCTCTTTAAACCTGTTGCATTCTTTTTCTGCTTGGGATTGTCATGGCGGGCCAGAGAGTAAAAAATATTTGGTGCTATACAATTGTACAAGAGAAATGTCACCCCAAGGGTCAGTTGAAGTAAAACTGGGCACTGGGTCGTCTGACAGCATTGACTTACTAGTTTTCAAAGCTGAAACCAGGGGGTGGTTCTCAACCCTGGCTACAAAAAGGAATATTAAAAACAAACAAAACAAAATGCAAACACTGGTGCCTGGGTCCTATGCTCACAGATTCAGATTTAATTGATTTGAGACTAGTCAAAGCATTGACATTGCTGAAGTCTCCCAGGGGGTTTTCCGTGCAGTGAAGATTGAGGATACGTGCTTTTGTGTTGATAGTTCTCATATGCCTTTAACTGGCTACAGATCTGTTATTTAAAATTTGATCAGGAGATTCAAGCATGATCTCATTTGTGTTGGAGTCACTTGAAGAGTCTAACTACTGCACCCTTTGGCACCCATGCCATGTTCTACTTCCCACCTGATGCACAATTGCAGCAAGTAACATGAGCACGAATAAAAGGAAAGCTTTTTGATAAGAGTCTCTGTGATTTTTGTCATTTTCAAAAGGGAAAATATCCTAAACATGTTATTTGATATTCAAAATATACCCTAGACTAGAACAACCAGGAAATTACCCAATGTATCAGGGCAAACATCTTAATTTAGAAGCCAGTGCATTTTTATTTGTAAGAGTGCCTGAGAATTCATTGAGCTTAGAGTAAGGAGATTCATTTATACGGTCTGCAACCACTCCAGGTATAGTTACACTTCTAGCCATTCTGGTGTAGGGATGGCTGTCAGGAATACTTCTACTACCTACTGTGCCAACTCACTCCATGTTACAGTGTAATGTTTCAGGGCTAGAGTCTTATCATGATATCAATGTATCTTATGAAACTGCCACCAGTAATATGTGGGTAGCGGAGGAGAAAAACACTTTAGAAATGCATTAAACCAGAGCTAGCCTGTGGAAAATTTTTCCAATCATTATACATGGAAAATTGTAGGATTTCATTCTCACTGACTCCAGTTAAAGTAGAATTTCTATCCTGTCAGGCATATACTTGATAATAGAGCAGAGTTGATAATAAATGCACCACTAAGTCTTTTCTTTATTGATAGGAATTGCATGAGATAGGACTCATCTCATATTCCTATTTGTCAGGGACAAATTTATAGCAGTACTGTTATTCTTTCTGTGGAGAATATTGCAAAATCATTGCCATAGGAGGGATTCAAACAATAGACAAAAAACATGGGAAAAAATAACAGAAGTGTATCAGACAGTTCATTCACAAAATAGTAATTTTTGTGGTATTAAGATATTTATAGCATTTATCAGCTTTAAGAATTTTTCAATTTGCTTTGTTTTGATTGCACTCATTACAAACTGATACTTGCTTTCATATCTAAGTGTTTGCTATTTTAATTAAAGATAGTACCTCTAGATTATATAAGATTTAGGTACCACAAAACCTGTATCTACTCTTGATATACTGCTCATAAAATGAATTAAAGTAGTATTCTTTTGTATAGTTCCTGTTATATTGATCTAGCATGCTTCAGGTAAAAACAGAAAACAATGATTCTCTCTGTAAAGGGAAATCTCTGGTTGATGAGAGTTAACTTAAAATAATTGTGGTGGGTCTTCAGAAAGGCATGTATTTGGATGAAGAATAGGAGCTAAAAATAAGAAAAGTCTAGAAATCAGAAAGACAAGGGAAAGACTAAAAGAGGTATAGTGAAATTTGAAAAGGAAAAGAAAGATAAGGCAGTATGGAAACAAAAATAAGGGAATGAACAGAAAACAGAAAAAAGAAAGGCAAGAGAACAATACCAGGTGGCTTTGTAAGGGTTACTGACAACTGATTTCACTTTTGGCTCCTTACTGAAGCTGATTGACAGGTGCGAATATCTACCTTTTCTTTAGAAATGACCCAGCAAAACTAAAGAGTGTTCTGCTAGCTGCTTGACCACTATGAATCCAAAGTAGGTGTTAAACATAGTAACTCAGGTAAAGAATGTGGTCCTATAGATTTCTGAAGGCAGATCACTAAAATTATACAAGATTACTTGGGGTTTAGATAGATACATGTTTATATTATAATCTCTTGGAAAAGTTTAGAGATTGTCTCAATCTTCATTCCATACAATAATTATTCTTAAGAACAATGTTCTGAAAAATAATGTATTCAACGTTTGCATGAACAGGTGCAAAGACTATAGGCTTTTTTCTATATAAGACACCCATTTCATTTTGGGGCAGTTCTACTTGTTAGAAAAATATCTTCCTTGTTGAGTCTGAAATCCACTTTCCTGTAACTTCAAATCCCTGGACTTAGTATTGTTTTTTGTTTTTGTTTCTTTGTTTGGTTTTTTGAATCAGAGTCTCATCCTGTCACCCAGGCTGGAGTGCAGTGGCATGATCTCAGCTTACTGCAACCTCTGCCTCCCGGGTTCAAGAGATTCTCATGCCTCAGCCTCCTGAGTAACTTGGACTACAGGTGTGCAGCACTACGCCTGGCTAATTTTTGTATTTTTTGGTAGAGACAGGATTTCACCATGTTAGCCAGGCTGATTTTGAAGTCCTGGCCTCAAGTGATCTGCCCACCTTGGCCTCCCAAAGTACTGGGATTACAGGCATGAGCCACCATGCCTGGCTGTACTCAGTATTGTTATTTGTAACAACACTCTATTTTAATTAAACAGATCTTAAAATATTTAAAGACCTCACCTCCACTTGGTATGACATGCTTTACCCTCATGATTTCCCATCTCTGGGCATAATCTTGGTGATATAGTTTGGCTGTGTCCCCACCCAAATCTCATCTTGAATTCCTACCTGTTGTGGGAGGGACCAAGTGTGAGGTAATTAAATCATGGAGGCAAATCTTTCCCCTGCTGTTCTCATGATAATGAATAAGTCTCACGAGATCTGATGGTTTTAAAAAGAGGAGTTCCCTTGTACAACTCTCTCTTTTTCCTGCTCTCATCCATGTAAGATGTGACTTGCTCCTCCTTGCCTTCCACCATGATTGTGAAGCCTCCCCAGCCACGTGGAACTGTAAGTCCCCTTAAACCTCTTTCTTTTGTAAATTTCCCAGTCTCAGGTAGCGTGAAAATGGACTAATACACTTGGATAGCTCTTTCTCAAAGCATTACAGTCAGAGATGAACATGATTCTCTGCATAGAGATGGACCTACATAGGCACTATTTCACACTGTCCTCCCATTTAGTAGGCTATGTTTGAATTACATTTAGCCACTTTGGCACACTGTTGGCCCAGAGTAAGCTTATGATTATCTAACAGCACCACCCCATTTCTACCCGCTAGGATTTTTAAATTTGAACTTCTAACAGGGTAGGTTTTTCCTTGAATGTTATACTTGAGCAACTGTGTTTTGAACTTTGAATCTAAGTGCAGGGGTTTATAGTTACTGTTATTAAATTTAAGCTTTTCAGTGTATGGCTAACATTATCACCTATTGTGATCTTTCTGAATCTTGACATTTAAATTCATCTTATTAGTTATTTCTTCCAGAATTACCAATAACTCCTTTCCTGACTAGCTGGTAACAATGTGGATGAGGAAATTTGGGCATAGCTCCAGAACAGTGTTTCAGTAGGATTTTCCATGATGATGGAAATGTTACATCTATGCTGTATAATATGGTGACCATTAATGATGTGTAGCTATTGAGTATTGAAATGTGGCCGAAGGACAGGTTTGGTAACTTCCTTTAGAGAGGTTGACATTGTTACATTAAGTCACACACTTACTTTTTTTATTGATACATAATAGACATACATATTTTTGAGATGCAAGTAATAATTCAATACATTCATATAGTTTGCATAATTGGGATATCTGTCAAAGCAACACACTTTTAATATTGTTTTCCAACTTTGAATTTCCCTGTACTCTGCTGCCACAGTTTCAGTCTATCCATCTTATTCTTAAAGATAACATGAGATATTTTGCCAAATATCTTAGGGAAATATCTGATGCTGCTTTAACAGCAGCTAAAAGTAATATATTAGGTGTATGCTATCTGCATGGCAACATGGATGAATCTTACAGACATACTGTGTAATGAAAGTTACAGAGTTTTATATATGTGTGTGTGCATGTGTGTGCATAATTATGTGCAAACAAATATCCATTTGGAAAGAACACAGACACAAAAGATATATATTCAAATAATTAAAATAGGTGCTATGGGGTTGAGGAGATTGGGAGAGAGGTATGGGGATGAGAGAAAATAAATAAAACAACAATAAACAAGACACAAGGCTTATGCTAGGAATGGAGGAGTGTGGTTAATTCAATCTTCTTTGTCTGTGGCCGAAAATAGATACACTCAGTTTACAGCACCTTTTTGACTTTTCCAGGCCAGTAATTATATAGCTGGGGGTGGGGCAGGGTGAGAAAATTAAAAATCAGATTAGTTTCATGTAATTCTTATTCAGTCACTTCCTAGCAGCATACTTTCTCAAAGAACTCATACTAGCTCTTAGTAATCAGTGCACAGTTTGTTTTTGTTTTTGTTTTTGTTTTTTTCCCCTAGGTGTAGTTAATAAAAGGCAAGGCAAACCTTTTTTGAACATTATTCACTTGGCACCTGGCAAGCCAAAACAATGTTTAGTTTCCAATTTTGTCTCTTTTATATACATAATTAGGGTCACAAATTCAAATTTGAAACTAATTGGTTGGGAAGTATAAGGGTAGTGGTTCCTGAGTTTCTTTTTAGTTTAAGTTTTATGTTTTTAGCTGCTTTGGTCTTATTGCTTGGTCCTTTGTATATGGGAGCAGACTGCTTTTATATTTTTTATAATAACTTGAAACAGGATATAGACAGGAAAAATTTTAGTATGCTGCTATGGTCTGAATGTTCATATTTCCTCCCCCTCCCCAAATCGTATGTTGAAATCCTAACCCAAAGGCGATAGTATTAGGAAGTGGAGCCTTTGGGAGGTGAATAAATCATGAGTGCTCTTCACCCAAGAATGGGATTAGTGCTCTTATAAAGGAGACTCCAGAGAGCTGCCTTGCTCTTTCCACCTTGTGAGGATGAGTGAGAAGGCACCACTTATGAACCAGGAAATGGGCCCATTTCAGAGACACTGAATCTGCCAGCACCTTGATTTTGGACTTCCCAGCCTCCAGAACTGCAGGAAATAAGTTTCTGTTGTATATAAGCCACCCAGCCTCTGATTTTGTTGTAGCAGCTAAAACAGACTAAGACATTAGCTGATGACATTAATAATAATAGAGTTTCCTTGAGAATCTAATTTGTCTTGGAGCCCCCAAAACAATAAAAATGCTTCACATAACTGGCATAGAATAGAAAACAGGGGAAATAAAATCCTACCTTTTAATAGAAGTATAGTGAATCCACACCTGGAAGGTTGTGTGCATAGCTGGTTGTTGCAACTCAAGAAAGACATAGTGGAACAATTATAAATCTAGAGAATAGTAATTATAGAGACAGGGACTAATGTAAGATTTGGAAAGAAAAAAAGCAAAACTATCCTATCTGAGAAAATGAATGCCTAGAGAAGATGGCAATAAACTTTGCAGAATACTAACGTATATGAACTAAAATGAACCTGAATTTAATGAAGTACAGCTACTATAACTAAGCTACATAGACTGATGATTTTCTGGGGCTTTATTTCTTTCTGAGTTTCATCCTGTTTTTATACTATAAACACCCCGTCTCACAGGATCTAATTGTTATTCATACTAAAATGTTGGAGATCAAGTGTGTTAAATAGGAATTTAGGAATTACCACATTGGGTTGCATTTATGGTCCATCGGCTCAGCATTGTATTTAAATGGGGCTTCCAGGATGTGGAAGAAAGTGCTTTTACACTGGGTGTAGCAGGTTTGAAGCAGCTAGAAGTAGCCTTTATTTCAAAAATCCTCAAGGAAAAAGCTAAACCAAGGGAATCTGAAATTTTCTGTTCCTCAGGGGAAACTAAATGAGACTTGTGAGTTAGTTCATTGCAGTTTACGTGAGCAAATTCAGTTTTCTATAACAAACATATTCTTTGGATTAAGTGGACAAATACAATTTTCTATTGAAAATATGTTCATTATATAGTGATTAAAATATTTAATGTATTGTAATAATACAATTAACAAACCTGTAATTTGTGACCTGGTCAGGTTTTTGGATCACTGATCTCTTGATCCTCTTTTTTTTTTTTCATTCTTATTGATCATAACCTGATTGTTCAAGTCACCCAAACCTGGCGTCCTCTTAAATTTCTTTAAAATATTTTTATTATTTTATTTTGTTTTTATTTTTTAAAATGTTTATGGATACATACTATGTGTATATATTTATGGGGTATATAAGATGTTTTGATACAGGTATGCAACCTGAAATAAGCACATCTTGGGGAATGGGGTATCCATGACCTTCAAGCATTTATTCTTTGAGTTGCAAACAATCGTATTACACTCTTTAACTTATTTTAAAATGTACAACTAAGTTATTATTAACTATAGTCACCCTATTGCACTATCAAATAATAGGTTTTATTCATTCTTTCTAGTTTTTTTTGGAACCCATTAACTGCCCCTGAGGCCTCCACTACCCTTCCCAGCCTCTAATAACCACCCTTCTACTCTCTATGTCCATGAGTTCAATCATTTTGATTTTTAGATTCTACAAATAAGTGAGAACATGCAATGTTTGTCTTCCTGTGCCTGGCTTATTTCACTTAATATCATGATCTCCAGTTCCATCATATTGCTGCAAATGTCTGGATCTCATTCTTTTTTATGACTGAATTGTGCTCCATTGTGTATATGTATTGTATTTTCTTTATCTATTCATCTGTTGATGAACACTTAGGTTGCTTCCAAACCCTAGCTATTGTAAACATTGCTGCAACAAACATAGGAGTGCAGATATTTCTTCGATATATTGATTTCCTTTCTTTTGGGTGTATACCCAGCAGTGGGATTGCTGGATCATATGATAGCTCAATTTTTAGTTTCTTGAGGAATCTCCAAACTGTTCTCTGTAGTGGCTGTATTAATTTACATTCCCTGCAACAGTGTTTGGTGTTCCCTTTTCTCCACATCTTCGCCAGCATTTGTTATTGCCTATCTTTTGGACATAAGCCATTTTATCTGGGGTGAGATGATATCTCATTGTAGTTTTGATTTGCATTTCTCTGATGATCAATGATCTTGAGCACCTTTTCGTATGCCTGCTTGCCATTTGTATGTCTTCTTTGGAGAAATATCTATTCAATTTTTTGGCCATTTTTTGATCAGATTATTAGACTTTTTCCTATAGAGTTGTTTGAGCTCCTTATACATTCCGGTTATTAATCCCTTGTCAGATGAAGAGTTTGCAAATATTTTCTCCCATTCTGTGGGTTATCTCTTCACTTTGTGGATTGTATCCTTTGCTGCACAAAAGCTTTTCAACCTGATGTGATCCCATTTGTCCATTTTTCCTTTGTTGCCTATGCTTGTGGAGTATTGTTCAAGAAGGTCCTCCTAAATTTCTTCCCCAAGTAGCCACAAAATCCAATTGGTCACCAAGTCTTTCTTAATGTTTCTAGAATTTTCTCCTCCTCTGCACATTCATTTTCACTGCTCTGATTCAAACTCTCATTATAACTCACTTGGACTATTGCAATAGGTTTCTAGCTAATCTCGTTGCTTTGGGAGGAATCATCTATTCCAGGTGTTGGCAAACAATATGGCTTATGGGCCAAATCCCGTCTGTATCAGCCTTTGATGTAATCCATTCTCCACTCTGCAGTCAGAGTAATATTTCAAAGACTCAAATCTCGTTATGTTAATCCTACTTAAAATCTTGCAATAACTTCTCATCATCCACAGAATAAAATTCAGATACTTCTATACCAAATATAATTCACAGGGCTGTTATTCATTTGTCCCCTGCCTGCTTTTCTAGTCTCATATTCTGCCATTTCTCTGCTTGCTTAGTATATCCTATTATGACAAAGTACTTGCAGTGTACCAGATGTGTGGTATTTTTCCTCAAGTTCTTGCTTCTGGCAAACAGTCATTTTTCAAGATTATGCACAACTGTTGACACTTAAGTAGACTCTCTAGATCTCTCCAAGCAGAAGGAAACACTTCCTTCCTGTGAATTTTTTCATTTCTTCTTCTTATCCTTATCACTGATAGTACTTATTTAAATTTATTGTTATTTTAAATGACTTCTCTGTTTTTCCTTAGAGATTATAAGCCTTTGGAGGCTCTGAATGGTGTCTTATTTATTCTAATATCCCTTGTACCTCCCATACTGTCTCGCATGCAATAAACCCTTATGAAACATCTGCTGAATAAATGAATAAAGAAACTTTAGCTGAGTCTTTCTTAAATAAACTTTCATGTGATCTGTAGAAAAGTAAACTTTTTGCCATGATAACTCCAAAATGCTACAAATTACTCTTATGCTAAAATTTGCTGAGAAAAATAAAAGAGAAAAACAACACTTCCCCATAAAGTTATATAATGGAAGAACAAAAATCAACTTTTTAAAATCAGAGAAATGAAATATTTTTTACTATGAGAAAAGCAAGGAAATGGTTTTGTTGACTGTAAATTAGAAATATACTATTATGTGGATCAAATCATATTATTAAAAGTTGAATTGATTAAAATACTCAATTTGGCTTCATGACGTAAAATGACTGGTGTTTCATTTTCTAACTGCTTTGCCAGGTTTTACAGACTGAACTGACAGTACAAAACAATGTTAGGACTTCACATAGGAAATGTGAAGGTAGAATTAAAGGCTCTGAATCCAGATGAACAACAGATGTAATGAATACAGCTAATCAGAGCACATAAAGCAACATCACACAGTAAATAACACACAAAAAGCCAGATGATATAATGTTAAGTGAAAAAAGCAGAAAGTGAAAATATGTATTTACTCAGACTTTCAGAAATGGCAGAGTTATTTAACCAGAATAACCTTCGCACAGATAACTATTATATATGATATATTTACACCTCTCTCCACACCCTAACCACCCATTTGAAAGTACTGGAGACCAACAAAACACTCAGATACCAGAGAGAGTCTACCTTTGAAAGACAGGAATTGCAACAGTGAGATTTGTGAGTATGCACCTTTTTGCCTGAGGGTACATCCTGTAGGGACCAAGAGCTTGGTCCTCTGAAAGTTCACTGAAAAATCAACTTGGCAAAGGCAGATTAATTGGAGAAAAGGCATACAAATGTATTTAATGAGTATACACAGGAGCCTTCAGAATGAAGACCCAAAGATATAGAGGAAACTGTCCATTTCAATGCTTAGGTTCAATAAATTATAAACAGCCATGTAGAAATATGGTTGGACAAAAATATAATAGTAATAGACTGAGTGGGGAAGCCCAGCATGGCCTGTCTGTCTGGATTCTTGGCCTCTCCGAGCAGTATTCCTTCCTTTTGGGTGTGGGGCAGGACCCTCTTTGGAATAGGGGGTCTTATGACCTACAGGCAAACAACGTAGGTCAGATTAATTTCTTTATGGCTAGTTCTTACACAGAATATTTTAGGTGTTATGGTTGGCTTTGGGGTGAAGGGGTTCTTCTGGTTTCTATGACTGTCTTGGGGAATACGGTTTCTAGTTTCTGTGGCTGGCCTCCGGGAAGAACGGGACTGAGAGATACAAGGGTAGGAGGGGTCAAAGAAAAACCTTTGCCTGTGAGTCTGCTTCTGTGGCCTTCATTTTGGAGTGTTGTTTTCTGAGGCCCCATAGTACCAAACTTCATGGGCTCTGGGTAACAGAAAGTTGCAGTTTTACTGGCTTGAGGTAAAAGAGGAAGTGAGTTCTAGATTGGCAGAGAAGCTGGAAGGATTGAGGAGGAAATTCCTGGAAAGGAGGAAGCTGCGGAAGGAGGGAACTTCAAAATTTGTGTATAAATTCCACCCAAACCCCCACTTGACTACTATATATGCCCAAGAGACTCCAGTGTCCTGGTGAAAATCAGCAGCTGGAATATGAAAGAATTGGGCAGAAATTTTAGCTGCTGCCCACTACTAGAGAAATAGAGTTCAGATTGTGAGATTAGCCAAGTTAACTACCTGCTAGGACAAAAATCAGCGCTCTTAAGAAGAATATAAATTCCAGAGTCTCTATAATATAGCTTTTGTAATGTCTAGAATACGATAAAAAACTAGGTATGCAAACTTGTGGGAAAATGTGATCTATAGGAGAAAATGCAATTATTAAGATCTAGTCACCAGATGATTCAGATGCTACAATTAAAACGTAAATATTTAAAAGCTGCTATTATAAATGCATTAAAAAAACTTAAAGGAAAAATAACAAATTAACTGAAAATTTTGGCAGAGAACAAGAAACTAAAAAAAGAGCCAAAAAATTATAGAAATGAAAAATACATTAATTAAATTTAAAAATTAAATGGGTGAGATTAAAAGTAGATTAGAGATGGCAGAAAACAACAGTCAGTAAACTTGAGGGTGGATCAATACAAGTTATTAATCTGAAGAGTAGACAAAAAGAAGAAAAGAATGAAGGAAAATGAATAGTGTCTCAGAGGCAAACGGGACAATATCAAGGGGTCTCATATATGTGTAAACTGATCTCCCAAAGGTGAGGGGATAGAATAGGGAAGGATAAAACATCCTGAAACATAATGGTTGAAAATTTATAAAAAATAAACTTACAGATCCAAGAAACAACAAACTCCAAAGAGAATTATTATAAGGAACACCACACCTAGGCACATCATAGTCAAAATCATAAATCTGAAAGAGAAAATCTTGAAAGCAGCCAGAGAAAGACAATATATTACAAACAAGGAAATAACAGTAAGCATTCTGCTTCCACTGCCTACTCCTCTGAAATCACTGAGACCGGTTGACAATGGAACATTTTTAGACCACTGAAAGAAGAAAAAAAGTCAGTCAAGAATTCTAAAACAAGAAAAACTATCCATCAAAAATGAAGATGAAACAAAGACCTTTGAAGATAAACAAAAACCAAGAGAATTTGTTGCCACAAGACTGTAATATAGAAATACTAAAGGAAATTCTTTAGATGGAAGAGAAATGACACAATTGTAACTTGTATATACAGGAACAGATAAAGAGCATTAAAAATGATAAATATTTGAGTAAATATAAAAGGCTACATATATTTTTCTATTTTCTCTTAATCTATCTCTTCCAGAAAACATTTAAATAGAGACAGGATCTTGCTGTGTTGCCCAGACTGGACTTGAACTCCTGGGTTCAAGCAATTCTCCTACCTCAGCCTGCAAGTAGCTGGGACTACAGGCATGCACCACTGTGCCTGGCTCTCTTAATTTCTTTAAAAGACATTATTAAAAGCAAAAATTATAGTACTGTTTTCTGTATTGGGGTCTTTAATAACAACAATAGCACAAGGAATGAGAGGGTTAACAGAGCTATTTGGTTGCAAGATTCTCATATTTTAAATGAAATGGTATAATATTGACTCTAAATGTACTGTGACAAGTTAAAGATGCATATCTCTAGATCAACCACTAGGAGTAGAGGTATAGCTAAAAAGCTAATAGAATAATTAAAATAAAATTATTAAAAATATTTAACCCCAAAGAGGTCAGAATAGGAGGAACAGAGGAATAGAAATGACAAGAATAGTCCAGGAATGGTGACTCACGCCTGTTAATCCCAGCACTTTGGGAGGCGGAGGCAGGAGGATTGCTTGAGCCCAGGAGTTTGAGACCAGCTTGGGTAACATGGTGAAATCCCATCTCTACAAAAATATGCAAAAATTAGCCAGGTGTGGGGACGCACAACTCCCAGCTACTTGGAAGGCTAAGGTGGGAGAATTGCTTGGGCCCAGGAAGCAGAGGCTGTGGTTGGCCAAGATCACACCACTGCACTCCAGCCTGAGCGACAGACTGAGACCCTTTCTCAAAAATAAAACAAAAAACAAACAAACAAACTGAAAAAAAAAAAACCCATAAATCACAAGAATAGATGAGAAAAATGGAAAACATAGCAAAATGAGGTAGATCTAAATCCAAAGATATGATTATACCAAATATAGTTCGATTTAGGTATACCATTGAATATCATTATTATGCTGAATACTGTAAGAAGCAGAGATTGTCAGACTGTTTAAAATAAATAAGACCCAATTGTATGCTGTCTGCAAGAGATACATTTTTTTGCTTTTTCTAAAAAGGACCAAATAAGTTGCAAGAAAAGGATGTAAAAAGTATATACCAGGCAAACAATAAGCACGAAATGTATAATAGATTAAAAGTGTCAGAAATAGTGTTGAATGAAACATTATGCAGCAATGAAAATGAATAAATAACTATGCACAACAATAAGGATGCTCCTCACAAATAATACTGAATGAAAACCCAGTCACATATAAAAAAATGCAATTGAATAATTTCATTTATATTAAGTTCAAAAAAGCAAAACTAATCTATGGTGTTTGTTGTCAGGATGGTGGTTTTCTTTAGGGAAGATTGGGCAGTAGGTGCTGGATAAGTATACAAGGGGACCTTCAAAGTGCTGAATAATGTTCTTATTTCTTGCTGTGGGTACTGTTTACATCAGTGTGCTTACTTTGTTACTAATTGAACTGGACACTTAAGATTTGTGTACTTTATCCATGTTTTACTTCAATAAGAATGTTTGTTTTAAAAGATGGGCTGAATTAGGCTATGTAAAATCTAGAGAAATACCACACAATTAATGAATTGTCTCACCAATAAAATCATAGTGCAAAGAAAGAGTATATTTTGAGGGAAATACGTAAAAGAAATACTCATCTATAAAAATTTTAAGTTTTTGAAAACCTCAACAGTTTGGAGCTATGGATAGTGAATCATAATTAATGATAACTCTTTAGAATACTTTGTAAATGCTTTTGAAGTTTATTTAAAAAAATAAGCATAGCACCATAAATAAGGAGATACCCACATCACTTTATATATCTTGAATTTGCAATAATATTTTTATTACCATTCTCATGCTTCAAGGTCTCCTTCCTTCTACATTCTTTTACAAAATCATTTTAAATTTGTTTTGCTATATTGCAGATAATTTCCGTGCTTAATACTTTTGTGATAGGACTTGGAACTGAACTGTTGACTCCAACTTCTAGGGTTGTGTTTTTGGTGTCAGACATCTGTCGTTATTTGGATGTTCGAGGTGGAAAAATCTTGGGCAATCATTATTTAATTAACTCAGCTTAGTTAAACATATGAGATTATCTGATATTTGGCTTGATGATATCTTGCCAAAGCTCCTGCCTTTAGCTCCTTCTTCACCCTCAATTCCCTTGAGAGCTAACAAATACAGGAACACAGTTTGAACTTCGGAGTTTATTTTCTTCCAGCTTTAGCTATCTTAAAAGTTCACTGCTAAAGCCTTTATTAATTCTTAACCAGTTTCTTTACTTTTCCTTCTGAATTCCAAGTTCTTCTTTTTCTGATATTCCCATTAGGAATGGCTTCAGTTTGAGCATATATTGAAATTTCTATGGTTTCTAGAAAGATACACTGAAATCCAGATTTATTAGAATTCCACATAAGGGTTATTTGTGGTAGGCAGTAGTACCGTGTCCCACATTAACAATTACATCATTGGCATTTCTAGCTTTTAGAATTCTAGGTATTGTTTTCTACTTCATTTTACTTTTAATTATTTCCAATTTTCTATGCCAATTACCTTTATAATCAGAAAAAAATCCTAAAATATAGCAATCAGTTATGGTGTCTTGGAACTGGCTCTTATTGGTTCAGGAGAGCAGAGGATGTGCATCTTTTCCTAACTTCCTGTTCAGTGACCTCATGTTGGTATTATGACATCAGCAAAGATGGGAACATTTGCACCATGGAAACTGGCAACACTAAAATTCAGGGTTTTGATTTTAGAGAATCTGCTTACCAGCAATCTACAGGCAAGCAGCATCTCTACATAACCTGAAAGAGTAGTCAGTTGATTCTATAAACAGCAACTATAAACACATAAATACAGAAGGTGGGGCATGGCTGCCTTCATACCTCACTAATTTTGGCAAAACCCAGCCTTTGAGAGCTTGGTGAACAGCTTGTGGAAAATGAAAACATTAAATTGCTGGCTGGTCGGAAGCGAATTCTGGGATGGGAAGAACAATTGCAGCTCTCAATTCTTTGGCTTGCAGTAAACAAGGCCACAAAGGGCCTGAGAATTATTTTATTCCTTACATAGGAAGACATCTTACTAGCCTTACCGAGGGCTAACCAAGAAATGATAAGTTTATGTTTTAGCTGCATTTGAAATTTGGGTTACATATAAGTGCTGTGAATCACTGGAATGTGTGACAAAGTTAGTCACATAAAGTCTTCTTCTTTGGTGACTTTTCAGAGACCAGAATTTTTTTGAGGCAGGGGTTGGGGGTGGGGGGTTGGTTTTATTTTTCCTGAAGGCAGAAGGAAAATTACATGGTATTTTCATAATTTCTTTTAAATTTCTTGTAAGAATTACATTCACCTAAAAATAGTGGGGGAAGTGTTATTTTCAATCAGAGTTACTGGGTCTTACTATAGTGCTTTTCTCACCATGATAGTGTCAGGGAATGAGGCTACTGCTGAGGATGCATTATTACTATTCACAGCAATATTTAAAGACACAAAAATAGAAACGTTGATATTCTGTTTTAATGCCCAAATCAAAGCAATTGGAAATTGCTTAAGTGGGCCAGTTTTAAATTTTTTAAATGCAAAAGACTTCTAACCAATACCAAGCAAGAAATGTGCTAGAAACTAATTGGAATATTGTGCTCAAAAGTGATTTTAGTTGGGGTTCAACTGGGCTCAATTAAACAGACATTTGTGATGCATTTTAAAAAAATATGGTGGCCACTGCTTTGGAAATTAGAGAATATTGGGAAGACACACAGTGTTGGCTCTCAGTGTTGACCTCAAAGTGGTCAAAGCATAGTTGGAAGGGCTGTCACATAAACAGAAAAACCATCATTGTTAGACTGACCCAAATCCCAACAACATTAGATCCATGTGATTTTATAAAGTATGCCTGGTTGCCTAAGCTCTCAGAACCCTAAAATAGGCCCTTGCCTTGTTGTCTGCTGTAGTCATGTGATAATTAATACACTGAAAACTATTTTTACATGACAAAATAGCCAGTCAATTGAGGAAAAACAATCCAGTTATATCATACAATAAAAAGAAAAATTACTTAAATTGGTTGTTTTGTAAAATTCAAAGAGAACAATGAATTATTTTAATAAAATGTTTGTTAGAATTCGTTACAGTGTTTGCATAATTGCTTTTTTGATTTTGTACCGGTTGTTTGATGTAATGAATAGAATGAACCTCGGAGTCCTGAAAACACTGCCACTATGAAACTATGAAAAAGGAGACAGCGAAATAGACTTGTCATCCTGTGCAGGTAAAACAAAATAGTGGCTTATGGGTGTGATGAGTACAACTAATTTGAAATTATCTAGACAGGAGGAGTCATGGCTAGGCTTTGCTTCCACATTATTTTAGTTTTAGGAAGGTGAGACTATAGCATTGAGGACATTATTGGCGTAATGAGAAGAATTCCACTTCTGTACACCTAAACTGTTATCTGGAAGAAAATGCTAGTTTAGACAATATGAATTTATTTTTTGACATATTTATGAAAGAGGCCTTTTAGCTGTTTTCTTTAGATAGGTTGTTATATTCAAAATATTCTTTTCAAATTCTATTGAGTTTTATGTGATCAGTATAGTAATTAATAGAACCTTAGTCTCTTAAGTAGGCAACAGAGTAAAGAAACCATTTTAAAAAGGAACCAGAGACACAAAAGGATAAATAATTTTCAAAAGAAAGCAAAATATCATCTAAAAAGTGAATTGTTATCTGTCTTGATCAGATTCTTCAATGGCCTGCATTGTGAGATTCTTGAATGTACAAGAACTCCTTCTGATGGCTTCCTGATCTATACAGAAGCCACCTGAGATGGACAATTTTAAAAGATGATAAGGTTCTATGCAATAAGCCAGTTTCGTTCCTTTTGAAAAATGGTATATGAATAAACCAGATCAACAGAGACTCTCAAATCTCGCTTTAGATACTACTTCTACTTCACTCCTTTTCTTCTACCCTGGTAACTTTAAGTAAAGTGTGTGGGAAAAACCACCCCCTAAAAGTTTCAGGCTTTCTCTCCCAGTTCTTTCTGATCTGTTCTTGATTGTAAGAATTAATAAGGAGCAAAATGAACAAAAGCTGGGTCCCAAAGAAGAAGGCAAGAGCCAGAACAATCAACAAACCTATGAGTCTTACCCTAAAAATGAGAGACTTGTCTTCAACAGTTGAGGGAATAAACAAAGTCTTAAGCCTGTAGCAGTGTAGTTCACCCCATGGCAGAACATCAGCAATGCCTAGGTCTAAAATGAAATGACCTACTCATGACAGCAAAGTGTTTTTGATACAATACCCACGAAGGCTTTAGGGGTAGAATAGCATTTCAAATTGAAGAAGGTATCAGTTTCAATATCTCTTTCAGAAAGTCTTTTGGTGGCGTGTTGTGTAGGTGTGCTATGGATGTAAAGATATAAATTAAGTACCTTCTGAGTTCAATTAATTAGTTTTATAGGGAGAACTTAGAGTTATTTAAAAAGAAGGCTTTGGGTTTTTTTTTTTTGGTGTTCGGTGCAGGTGATATTTATTAACAAGTAGGCTGTGTATAAAGAATATGTTTGTATGCATGCAAAGTGGTATTTTATTGAAGAATGCAAGGTAGGTTGTCATGGAGATTAAAAGCCTTGAAGTGCTATTCACTGGTGTTAGTTATGGTTGCTGGGCACTAGGATATTAGGTTCTGGCACCCTGAAGGTTTCATTGTTGTAATAATAATTACACTTTTATCTTCACTGTAAGGGCTATTCAAGTAGGATAAATAAATACAGACACATGAACAAATCTAACTTAAAGGTAAATATAGCAACCCTATGACCCATCCTGGTGCAAAATTATGTAGCTGTAGTTACTACACCGTCAAAATGCTTGATTTTCATTGAGGGTCACAGAAGCTGTTTATAAGATGAATTTACAAAATGCACAAAATCTACACTTACATTAAAAAGCAACAGAAGAATGAAAGCTATTGACCATTAGTGTAGTCACTGGTAAATATAAAGGTTTCCTTTAGAAGCAGAGGAAACAAATGAAAAGCTTGTAATATGTTTTGCTAGCATTTTCTTGAAATACTGTATTTATATGAGATTTCAAACCTGACTTTGAGCCCTATGTAAAGCATAAAGTGATTTTTTTTCTGGTGTTCTTTTCTCTTCCATGATTAGACAAAATGATCTTGACAAGTTTACCTTAGTGAGAAACTACGTATTTTCTATATAAAGAGACTACTTATGCTTGGCAGAATCAGTATGGACATTTTCTTAACCAATAAATTAATAGAAAGAGTTGCAATATAGAAAACTATACAACATACACAATATAACATTGAAATTTGCAGCAGTAAGTAATGTGGTTTTCAAAACTGCCTTAAGTGATGATTAACTAGAATTATATATATTTATATTTAAACTGACACCACAGAATTCTTTGAAGTCTTGACAGATATGTGGAATATTTAAATGTAGTAATTGCAGTTGCTAAACCTCCTGGGATTAACCTGCTGGAGAGATAGTGACATCTTATACAGAGAAAAATGATTTGTACTGTGGGGGAAAAGCTGAAAATGAAGCAATTCCATGTGTGTCTTATATTCTTATATAACTCTTTGGAAAAGAAGTTTATTGTAACTAATGAATTGGTAATATTCTGTAATAATCCACCATGTGAACAATTATATAATTTGTATAAATGTAGGCATATAATTTAGTTTTCTCAACACTGATTTTAGGTTTCATAATATAGCACAGTTCACAAAAAGTAAAACAGACTGAGAAGTAGATCAGGACTGGATTAATGTTAATGGTAGGAATCTTGGATTTTTGCTTGAAGGTAGGTTCCATATTACTTTATCTTCTAGAAATGGGGAATGTTGTAACGGTACTTCTCAGTTCATTTTAGGAAATATTTGTTAAATGCCTTTATGCTTCAAGCACGTTTTGTTGAATTTAATCGAAGTCAAGGGGCAAAAACATTAACAAAGAGAGAGAGTGCTGGTATATTTTTATCAAATAAAATTATTTTAAAATAAGTCACATTGTTACCATATTATCTGTAGATAGAAGATGGATTAATCATAGGGATTGTCTGTTGCCCCTGATGTTCAAAACTTCTGATGAAGTACTTTGAGTTGCATCTATATAACATAATCAAATAGCCATAACTTGAGCTTGAGAATCAATTTTAACCAACTTGGCAAGATACAAATCTCTGTGTATAAGAGTAGAGCGAGAAGATATCAGCGGGTCTCTGGGTATACGCTTTCCAAGTCTAGACTTCTCTGGGGTTTTAAATAACAAATTGTATCTTAAAAGTACCTGAGATAGTGGGATAATCTCTTTTCGCAGTGGGGTAAATTGAGGTAGATATTTAGTAGAAGTGTGCATTGTATAATAGCTGTACACCAGGGAGAGGATATTGAACTGAGAAACACACATTTTAATTACAACTATGCTACTAGACAATTGAGTGATTTAAAATCATTTGTTCATTCCACTGGGGGAACAATGGTGACTCACCATACAATGGGAATTTCTTTGGCATGGCTGCTAATACTGCTAGTGGAGAAAAGGAGTAATTCTTCACTTAACAGCCTAAGACTTGGCTTTCCATACCACCCTGTTCCCAGACTTCCTACACTGTAGTGGCTTCCTTCCTAAGGATAGAGCAATACCGTCCTCATGAAACTTACAGTTGAGTGGGAGGAGACAGGCATTGAATAAGTCATTTTAAGTGTGAGAAATCTTATAAAAGGAAGTCCAGGATTCACTAACTGTATATGTTTACTTGAAAGTCGCTGCTGATGAAATATTTGGCACTACTAAGATGACTCCAAAATAGCTTTATCTCTCATCTCAGCCTCTTTTCGGAGGTATAGACCTATATCCCCAATTACATGCTTGCATTTTTAACCTAAATGGAATTGGCTTCTATAACTCAACTTATCCAAATCCAAATTCATCATCTCCTTATCAAAACAGCATGTCTTTCTAACTCTTCCACTTATTTTAGTGGCCCTGTCCATTTCCCAGTCACAGCAGACGTGAGATCCATCTTTCATTCATTCCTTTGTTTTCCACATATTAAAGATTCCATTTTGATAATGTCTCTTCTGTCTGATTTTTTTTTTTCAATTCCTGCACTCACCAGGCATTGGTCTTTCAAGCAAATTAAACATGGTCATTCGCTTCTTTATTCAACAAATATTTCAATGCCTATTACAGACTATGTCCTGTGCTGTGGATATAGTAGTAAGTAAAATTGCCATCATCCTGCTTTCACAGAGTTTGTGGGGTCATAGATGAGGCAGATATTAAATGAATAACTGTATTCATTTAATAAATGAATATACATGCTATGAAGGGAAAGCATAGGTGCTACAGAGTGCCAAGCAGAAAGATAATATAGATACCTGATATATTTTGGGGATGAAAGTGGGGCAGTCTTGTCTGAGGCCTATGGAGTAAGTAGGAGTTAGAGGAGGAGTAGGAAGAAAATATTCCAAGTAGAGGGAAGAAGTCTTACAAAGTTTCCATTTCTAGAGAGAGTGTGGAGGCTTTGAAGCTGGAGAGGAAGGCAGAAGTTGGATTGTGTAAGGCATCATCAGCCTTTTTAAGGAGTTCAGATTTTATTTCAAATGGGATGGGAAGCCATTGATGGGTTTTCAGCAAGGGAATGGAGCTGAGATGTATTTGAGATACATATAGAAAGTAGAATGAGCAGAACTTGTTGAAAGAATGTATATGAAGAAATAGAGGAGGTGCTAGATTTCTGACAAGAGCAACCAGGTAGATAGATGTGCCATTTGGTGAGACAGAGAACACAGGTTTGGAAGGCAGGATAATGAGTTCAGTTTGGGACATGTTTGAGGAAAGTATGATAGCCAAGTGATTGTTCAGAAGGTAACTGGTTATATATAAACATGTTCCTGCTGTCAAGGAGAGAGCCACCCGCCTAACAGATGTTAAGATATTTACAATGACTACACAACAAGATAGATTATAGTTAATGCCACACTAAATTGATGACTCATGAAAAACCTCTTGGAGAAGGTGACATTTGAGAGGGCCTTGAGAGAATGATAGAATTTTGACAAATGCTCCTTGGTTTTCTACATTTAAGAATGATGCACTAAAATGCTGATATGATGATCTAACTTTTGAAGTTGGTGTTTACTGACTGGTGTAGGATTGTAGGGGGTGCATTGGCCTTTTTGTGAGGGTGTCTTAAATTCCAGCAACTATAGATTTTTCTTTTGGGCTGGTCTTCCAATTTCTTCTCTTGAGGGAAGATATAAACTTGGCTGCCAGTGTTTTGGGAGTCATATGAGAGAAGAGAGCTCTGGGCTTTACCATCCAATATGTGGATTTTTAGTCATTTTTTGTTTTAATTATAGCACCTCTGCCCTTAGCTGTATCTGATGACCCAAGACCAGAGTTCTTTAGATTTAATCTTGCCAGGGAATAATTTCTGCCAGGGTGGGAAAAGTGAACTCACTTGCTGGTTGGAAGAGGGGGTCTGGGACTCTCATTGCTATTTACAGGTTCTTTCAACAAATTCTTCAGTCTATAGCCTTGCCCTCTACCATTCCAAGGTGCTTCTAATTCCCAGGCTTGAGAGCATATGAACCGGCTTGACTCCTATTGGCTTCATTCTCCAGACTCAAGTTTATGCTTTCTCTGGCCTGCCAGATCAGTACCATCATCCATCTATATATGCTTTTCAGCTTCCAAATTCGTATCTAGTGATGTGTTCTGTTCTGTTTGTCTTTGCAGGCTTTCTTCACTGTCATTCAGGAGGGAGTAGAAATAAACTTGTGTTTAATCTGTCATGTATAATAGTAATGCAATTTCTAAAAAGTGCCTGACTATAATGATTTTAAGTACTGGAAGATAATAGCTTAATAAAGTACATAATCTAATTTCCTCCTATAATTTCATAATTCTTATTGTAAAGAAATACTCCATAAACTCAGACAGTATTTGGAGCTTCAATTATTTTACAATTGTTTTAGTGCTATTAGTGCCTTACGTTTCTTCAGGCATCCTTTTTCTAAGTCCATTTGCATCAGATAATTGCTAAATCAATAAAAATATATTTACATAAAACTTTTTGGAGAACAGGCTTACCATGTTAAAAAGAAAAGCTAAAGCTATTAGAAACAAAAGGCACATGGACAAAAATGGCTATATTTAATTAATATTAAAGTTGTGAAATCAACCAGCAAAAAGTAATGAAACCAAGAATTTATGTGGGTACTATGGATTTAAGTATAACCTGAGCCTGAGGACTTAAAATGATGGCATCAGGTAATATAGCTGATGGGATAGTCCAAGAATGACTTCTCAAAATCTCAAGTTAATGACAGCTTTCAGGAAATAACGGAAGATTCTGTGTCTTTTTTTTCTTCTCACCATTGCTTCTTCTATATTACCAAACCTACAGATCATGTCTTCATACCTTTGTAATTAAATTTTATGAAAAACAGAGCAAACTAAGACTTTCATAAAATTTCCCTTTTTAAAAAATATTTTATAGTCACAAACTCCCATCAGTAAACATAGGCTATTCATTCAACCATTCGTTCAAGAAATATTTTTTGAGCACTATTCTTTTTTTTTTTTTTTTTTTTTGGGACAGAGTCTCTCTCTGTTGCCCAGGCTGGATGGAGTGCAGTGACACAATCTCAGCTCACTGCAACCTCCGCCTTCCAGGTTCAAGTGATTCTCCTTGCCTCAGCCTCCTGAGTAGCTGGGATTTTAGGCACCTGCCATCATGCCTGGCTAATTTTTGTATTTTTGTAGAGATGGGGTTTCACCATGGTGGCCAGGCTGTTCTTGAACTCCTGACGTCAGGTAATCCACCCGCCTCGGCCTCCCAAAGTGCTGGGATTACAGATGTGAGCCACTGTGCCCGGCCTTGAGCACTATTCTATTTGGCACATTAGGAGGTTCCCGAAGATACAATGGTGAGCAAAGGGAAATACGGTCCATGTTGTCAGGTAGCTTTTAGTCAAGAGGAGGAGACAGATATTAATTAACTAAGCCTACTAATCAAATAAATTGAGATAAATGTCCTCCTGGATAGACACAAGTTTTATTGGCAGGTGTGTAATGAAAGAGTCTTACCTGCACTGGAGGGATGGGGAAAAAGATATGACAGTTGAGTTCTTAATGCCAATTTAACTAAGCTGAAGGGATGCCAACTTAACAGTGGGATGGTGGGAACAGTATGTACTCATGTAGTAGGAAGGAGTACTAAATATTCAAGGAAGAGTGTTGAGACAAGGTCAGTGTGGGCAGGAATTAAGGAGGACCATGACTGGGCTGGAGAAGTAAAAATAATCAGATCGCAGAATAATGGGAAGCCTGCAATACTGGGAGTGGGAATTTCACTTAAATGTAAGTGAAAATTTTTTTCCAAACAGTAGTACTTGCACGAGAAATATTAAAACTGACCGCTGTGTTTCATCACAGATAATTCCACCAGGTCAAGCTAATAAAGGATCATGAATTTGAGTGACCAGGGGGCCCGTAGGATATCAGATCCTTATTGAATCTAACTGAAGACTCTTTCATGACCAATGAACAACGGAACTCACTTGTTTTAACCAACTATGTAAAGAACAATCTTTAGCCAATGCAGAGTGCTAGTTTTCAATGCTTAATTAACACAAACACCATAACTCTCCCTTTCTGACACACACATTTCTGAGTTTCCCCTGCTCAATGAACTACCTGTGAATTTTTCACTTGCAGATGTTTCCTTGCTTGGCAAGAAATATTTACCTCTTAATGTGTTTAGCTTAAATATTTTCATTTTTTTTGATAGCAAAGTATGGGGATATAGATCATATCACATTTGAATCAAGAAAGTCCTGTCTGGCTATAGTTTGGAGAATGGCTTGAAGAATGAATCAGTGGATTCCAGGAGACAAGTTAGTTTACTGCAGTAGTCCAGGCCAGCATGATAATGGCTTACTCCAGAATGATGGTGGTGGAGACAGAGAGTGATGGACAGATTTGAGAGATATCCAGCAGATGAATTCACAGGACTTGGTAGTGGATTGGATATGGGGGTTGAGAGGTATCACAAATGACTTGTGGGCTTGAAAGGATGTTGATGTCAGTCAACAAAGTAGGGAATCCTAAAAGAGGTCCAGACAGAGAGTGGGGAAATGGAAGATTAAGAGTTCAATCTTGCTTTGCTTATTACCTTCCAAATTGTTTGTATGGGAATCAGAAGCTTTAAAAAGAAGAATTGTAAACAGAAATTGTTTTTATGTGTACCATATTTCAGAGTCATTAGAGCTACAGTTTTTCTAATATATAAATACTCTTGGTTTATTTGTTATGTATCTCACTAGATTTTCTTTGGGCAATCCTATTGGCATTTTCCATTTATAACAATTGCAGTCATTTCAAATTGCATTTTAAAGGAAGTTATGTATAAAGGTGTTGTGCAGTTTGCTATAGATCATTTATGCAGAGTGGAGCATAGTGAGTTCAATTCAAAAATAAGGCCAAAAAGCAAAGTCTTCCTTACACTGGTGCATTGCAATGTATGAATTTGGTATGGATGAACGTAACTGTCGAAATCAAATACAGGCGTGGGGAAATATTACCTATTGCTCACTTAGCATTGATTTTTAGTAGCAGCAGGTTTAGCTAAAAATCTGTGATCAATGGACTGTTACAACTAAATAGTCTCTTTCATTTCCAAGGGAGGAGAAGAAACCCTGAATATTTTCTGGAAATAGTTTTCTTTTATTATTAAAGCAATATGCTTTCAATATAGAAAAACACAGAAAACAACATTTTTGATTCTGGAATATCTCTGTTTTTTTTTTCAGATACATGCCAGCAAGGCTTTTTGCTTGCTTGCTTTTTTTTTTTTTTAAGATATACAGGGAATAGGAAACACAAAAAATTTAAATAGAATCTCTAGTCCTAGCTGTGACCCACAATTCCAGTTGTTTTTTAAAAAATTAATTCTCAACTAGATTATCTACACCACCAGAATATAACTAGATTAAGAGTAAAATAACATGCTTAAATATGTTATATCCCTCCCTCAATATATCACTGATTTTTTAGAGATAGGATCTTGCTCTGTTGCCCAGGCTCGAGTGAAGTGGTGTGATCATAGCTCTTTGCAACCTTGAACTCTTTGGCTCAAGTTATCCCCACTGCCTCAGCCCCACAGGTAGCTAGGTCTACACGGGCATGCCACCATACCCAGCTAATGTTTTTTTTTTTCTTTTTTAGTTTTTTGTAGAGACAAGTTCTCACTATGTTACCAAGGCTGGTCTTGAACTCCTGGCTTCAAGTGATCCTCCTGCCTCAGCCTCCCAAAGCACTGGGATTACAGGTGTGAACCACTGTGTCTGGCCCCTGCCACTGATTTTTAAGTAGCTAAAGATGGTCAGATATTTTTGTAAACCTCTAATGTATTCTTTTGTGAGATTGGCCCCACTCTTTAAAAAAAAACTTCTTGTTCCTATTTTATATCATTTGTCACCTTGTCTGTTTAAGTATTATTTATTCTGTTTATTTTATATTCTTGTCATGTCTACTTCAATATTTTCACTTCAGTTGGTGTGTGTCATTCATGTTGTTGACTTTTATTATAATAGGTGATCTCCTTAGGTGTCTAGATAATCTGGCCTTTGAGTTCATGTTCTTTTTTTTTTTTTTTGAGTTGGAGTCATGCTCTGTCACCCAGGCTGGAGTGCAGTGGCATGATCTTGGGTCACTGCAACCTCTGCCGGGTTCAAGCAATTCTCCTGCCTCAGCCTCCCGAGTAGCTGGGGCTACAGATGCATGCCACCACACCCGGCTAATTTTTGTATTTTTAGTAGAGACAGGGTTTCACCATGCTGGCCAGGCTGGTCTCAAACTCCTGACCTCAGGTGATCCACCTGCCTTGGCCTCCCAAAGTGCTGGGATTACAGGTGTGAGCCACTTTTTTTTTCTTTTATTTCTTTTTGAGACAGTCTTGTTCTGTTGCCCAGGCTGGAATGCAGTGGTGTGATCTCGGCTCACTGCAACCTCTGCCTCCCGGATTCCAGCAATTCTCCTGCCTCAGCCTCCAGAGAAGCTGGAATTACAGGCATGCACCATGATGCTGGGCTATTTTTTGTATTTTTAGTAGAGATGGGGGTTTCATGATGTTGGCCAGGCTGGTCTTGAACTCCTGACCTCAAGTGATCTGCCCACCTCAGCCTCCCAAAGTGCTGGGATTACAGGTGTGAGCCACTGCGCCTGGCCTTGAACTCATGTTCTTTTGAGGGAGAATGAGCTACCTTGTCTGTGGAAGGACCAAAGGTCATTCTGTGATGTTTCAGCAGTGTTTGGGGAGAGAAGTGTGTTGAGACCTATGGTGGAAAGCCCTGGGAACTATGGGCCTCTTGTTGACCACACCCCTGCATTCCAGCCTGGGCAACAGAGCAAGACTCTGTCTCAAAAAAAAAAAAAAATGGCTCATGCCTGTAATCTTAAATTACCTTATATAGTTGGCACTCCGTATCTGCAGGTTTCACATCAGTGGATACGACCAATTGTGGATCAAAAATATTTGGAAAAAAAAAACAATAAAAATAACACAATAAAAAATAATATAAAATTTAAAAACAATAAGTAAAAACAACTATTTGCTTAGCATTTCCATTGTATTAGGTATCGTAAGTAACCTAGAGATGATTTAAAGTATATAAGAGGATGTGTATAGGTCATATAAAAATAGTATGAATTTTAATGTGAGGCACTTGAGCATTTGAGGATTTTGGTGTCCATGGGGTTTCTGGAACCAATTCCCTAGAATATAGAGTATGACTGTAATCCCTTTTTCCTGAGAGGGGGAATCTGATGGCTCGAAATGATCCTGGAACTATCCCGAAGTCAGGCATTAGTTTATTGAAGTAACTAGGCACTGTCCAATTTGCAACTAGTGGTCAATTGACTTTCATGCAGCAAATCCAATACCAGTTGTTGGGGGCCACAGTTAATATGTTTTTTGCCCTAAACACCCATATGGTGCTTTAAATAATATTGTAACATTTTGGGGCCACTTGTCAAGAATGGTCTGGTGCCATGCAATAAATATGTGTATCAAAAACATTAGGCCTATCTAAAGCAAAATAATTTGTGGTGCAGTCTGTAGTGTGTCTTACTTGAGAGTAAAAGTGAGATTACTTTAAAAGTGAGATTACTTCCAAATACACAGCTTTAGTTTCCTAGTTTTCTTTAACATTTTACATCTGTGCAATTTAGTGATAAAATCTAGCTATCACAATAGGTCCTCAAGTATTTGGTGGAGACAGGAACCTCCCTTTCCTAATACAATGTAACAGGGCATTTTAGATTTCTGTGTTTCTGGCCTGTTGTGGTATTTGCTATCTAAAGTTCCTTAATTATTAGTTGAGTTCAATTACCCACTAAACCAATGCTTTATTACAAAGAACTGGTACCAAGGGAAGCTGGGTGGCTTCCAAAGGAAAATGTCTACAAATCCAATAGTCAGAGTGGTTTTGGCTTAGCCAGTTCATACATAAATTGGAACTGAGTAACTAGAAATGTAAAAAACGACATTGAATAAAGCTTCATAGGTAACATAAAGATAGACTTAAGACCAGCAAAAGAAGAAATTACTAGGAAAATAGAGCCAAAGAATGTGTATTGAAGTGGGCAGTCGCTGGTCTTGTTCAATGGCTTTTGGGTGGAGGCTATTGACATAACAGGTAGACATTTATTTGGTTCAAAGATTTTGGGCAAAGCCATCTCCTGAAGACTGTCTACTTTTGTAGGGTTTCTGAGAATCTTTAGCTTGAGATTGCTGGTTGGGAGAGTCTTTTAGTGATTCATGGATGATTATTCCCTTTTTCATTGAGACACGTGAATCTAAGAATCAGTCCTTTGAAGTTTTACTGCTATGTTAGAACATGATGGAGTCTTTACTTTGGAGTTTAAGGGCTGTCTTTCTCTCATGTTTCTTCTAGGAATTAGGTCTCTAAGTTTTATGTTATGCAAGGATTGTCTAGGAAAATGTTGAAGAAGGGCTGCTCACAAATGTTGATGATGAGATTGAGTATATTGCATAAATCTCTTTCAGTATTTAGTTATGCCTGCTTGCAATAGTGTATAGCGTTAGAGATGATATTTTTAGATTCATGGGACAATATATCAATAATTTGTAAGGAGAGAGTCAGTGAATTCAAGGAGTTGATTTCATTGTCATTAAAGCCAATAAAAATACTTTAGGTCATGAAAGCTCAAATGTCTTAAGAACTATCCTAATTTGAACTGCAGAATTCCATTTATTCTTTCTGCTTTTCTAAAAGATTGGGAGTAATATGGACTGTGAAGTTTATAAGTAAGCAACAGAGCTTTGCAAAATTATTTAATATGAGTCCTAGTAAAATAGGCTGTCCTGTCACTTGAGATAAATGTTAGCATTCCCCCAAGTTGGGAACACAAAATCAAGTAATTTTTTGCTACCCTAAGAGCCACAACTCTCTGGTAAGGATTATTTCAATCCATCCCTAATATGTAAAGAATGACCAGAAGATATTCAAAACCCATTTCAGGAAGTTGTATGAAAATCATTTGGAGATGTCCGTAGAGAATAGGGGTTTGGGCTCTTGCATGTTCTATTTTTTTAGAACTATACCAGGATTGTGATAGTGACAAATAACTTATGCATCACTGGCATACTCAGAATTTTATTGATATTTTTCCCACTACTGTTAATTGAGTATAGCAGGCAATTTTGTCCTAATCATGCTGGGCAATTTAACATAAAAATTTTATAAAGTTTAGTTTTAGAACTTCTGGTGCCACCAGGGGATCATCCTGAGAGTTATCTTTGAACTCTTCAATGGATTCATCGTTTTTTTTGTTTACAGGGTTGAATTAGAGTCCAACATATTTATTTTTAAATTTTATTTTTAAAGAGCAGTTTTAGGTTCACAGTAAAATTGAGAGGAAGTACAGCAATTTTCCATATACTCCTGCCTGCACATATGCATAGCCTCCCCCATTATCAACGTCCATCACCAAAGAGTACATTTGTTGCAATTGATGAACCTACATTGTCACATCATAATCATTCGAAGTCCATATTTTACCTTAGAGTTCACATTCTATGGGTTTGGACAAATGTATAGTGACATATAGTCATCATTAAAGTATCATACAGACTATTTTCACTGCCCTAAAAAGACTCTGTGCTTCACCTACTCATCCCTTCGCCCCAGCCCTGGCAGCAACTGATCGTTTTACTGTTGCCATAGTTTTGCCTTTTCCAGAATGTCGTATAATTGGAATCATGCAGTATGTAGTCTTTTCAGATTGACCTCTTTCACTTAGTAATATGCATGTCTTTTGTAAGAAGCTTCCTGCATATCTTTTGTAGTTTGATACCTCATTTATTTTTATTGTTGAATAGTATTTTATCTTCTGAATGTACCACAGTTTGTTTACCCATTTATCTACTTGAAAGACATCTTGGTTGCTTCCAAGTTTTGACAGTTATGAATATATCTGCCATAAAGATCCATGTGTAAGTTTTGTATGAACATAAGTTTTCAACTCCTCTGGGCAGATATCAAGGAGTGCAATTGCTGCATGGTATGGTAAGAGTATGTTTAGTTTTATAAGAAACTGCCAAACTGTCTTCCAAAGTAGGCTGTACCATTTTGCATTCCTACCGGCAATGGATGAGCATTCCTGTTGCTCCATATCCCCACTAGCATTTGGTGGTGTCAGTTTCCTAGATATTGGCCATTCTAATAGGTGTGTAGTGGTATCTCATTGTTGCTTTAATTTGCACTTCCCTAATGAAATATGATGTGGAGCCTCTTTTCATATGCTTATTTGACATCTATACGTCTTTTTTTTTTCCTTTTTTTTTTTTTTTTGAGATGGAGTCTCACTCTGTCTCCCAGGCTGGAGTGCAGTGGTGCGATATCAGCTCACTGCAACCTCCGACTCCCTGGTTCAAGCTGTTCTCCTGCCTCAGCCTCCCGAGTAGCTGGGATTACAGGCACGCACCACAATGCCCAGCTAATTTTTTTGTGTTTTTAGTAGAAACGGGGTTTCACCATGTTGGCCAGGATGGTCTCGATCTCTTGATGTCGTGATCTGCCTCCCTCAGCCTCCCAAAGTGTTAGGATTACAGGCGTGAGCCACTGTGTCTGGCTTGATACCTATACATCTTTTTTGGTGATATGTCTGTTTGGGTATTTGGTTGATTTTAAAATTGGGTCATTTATTTTCTTATTGTTGAGTTTTAAGAGTTATTTTTTACATTTTAGATAACAATTCTTTATCATATGTGTCTCTTGCAAATATTTTCTCCTAGCTTGTGGCTTGTCTTTTCACTCTCTTGACCTTGTCTTTTGCAGAATAGAAGTTTTTAATTTTAATGAATTAACGTATCAATGCTTTCTTTCATGAATCTTGCCTTTGGTGTTGTATCTAAAAAGTCATCACTATACCCAAGGTCATCTAGCTGTTCTAAACATTCATTTTTTTTGCATGTGGCTGTCCAGTTTTTTCAGCATCATTTGTTGAGAAAATTGTCTTTTCTCTATTTTGTTGCTACTGCTCCTTTGTCAAAACTCAGTAGACTATATTTATGTGGGTCTATTTCTGGGCTCTCTATTATATATCACTGTGTGTCTATATCCACAACGTAAATTGCTGGGATTTTGATTGGGATTGCCTTGAATCTATAGATCAAGTTGGGAAGAACTAACATCTTGACAATATTGAGTTTTCCTACCCATGAACATGGACTATCTCTCAATTTATTTAGTTCTTTGATTTTGTTCATCAGAGTTTTATAGTTTTCCTCATATAGATCTGTACATTTTTTTTAGGTTTATACCTAATTGTTTCATTTTGGGGGAATGTTAATGTAAATAGTATTGTGTTTTTATTTCAAATTCCATTTATTCATTGCTGCTACACAAGGGTATACCAAAGTTGCTGAATAGCACAGTTGCTGGATACTTTTGCACAGTACCCTTTCAGGAACTGGAGGCTTGAGTCAAATGTATTTTCACACGAAATGCTTTTGGGTGAGTCTCCAAAAAAACTTTCTCCAACATCTACTGCTTTTATCAACAACTGGGTTACCTATGAAATTTAGGGTCCTTAAGTTACTCTTAGGGTCTTCCCATTTTATTGTTTGCATAAGTTTTTTTGCATATAAGGTTCTCATAAAATGTGAACCAACTGCTATAGATTTGGGAGCTCTGGAGTTTATGTTCCTAAAATCATACTAAATTCTTCTATAAATTTCTATCTGTATTAGTTCATTTTCACACTGCTGTAAAGATACTGCCTGAGACAGGGTAATTTATAAACAAAAGAGGTTTAATTGACTCACAGTTCTGCATGGCTGGGGAGGCCTCAGGAAACATACGATCATGGCAGAAGGCAAAAGGGAAGCAAGGTACATCTTACGTGGTGGCAGGCAAAAGAGAAGAGCAAAGTGGGAACTACCAAACACTTTTAAAACCATCAGCTCTCATGAGAACTCACTCACTAACCCAAGAACAGCATGGAGGAAACCATCCCAATGATCCAATTGCCTCCCACCTTGTCCCTCCCTCCACACCTGGGGATTACAATTCGAGAAGAGATCTGGGTGGGGACACAGAGCCAAACCATATCACTCCCTATCTTATCTAGACTCTGGGAATTCTTTAACAGTGATGCTACACTTAAATGATACCAGAACTTATATTCAACCATTAGGGGTTTTTCTGTTCTGCAGGATGTTTAATTTTAAGAGTTAATTTAGCTTTGGGTGCTACTGGGTGGCTAGAAAGCAAGGGAGGCAGATCAGGAGGAGTTATAGGAACAGAAGGAAATGTAGAAGCATAAGATGGATAAGAATAGTAAAGGTTATTCACTTCAAATCAAGATTTGGGGTATCTTGAAGAGAGCTAGTTTTAATTTTTTCAAGTTTTTATTTTCTCTTGGCCAAAGAATCTCTAATAAAGCAATTTTGCCATCTGAATTTCTTTGGCATACTTCCTCATGTCAATAAAACCATGCAGACCACTGGTACTGTTTTTTTTTTTTTGTTCTATGATACCCTTCAAATGAATAATTTTGTTTATATCTAAGCTCACCAACATGGCTACTATAAATTCTATATTGTGAAATTATGTTACTTGGAAAGATAAGCAGAAGAATTTGAGATGTGGCATAAATACACATGAGAAGGAGGAGTCCAGCTCAGGGTAGGTAGGGACATAGATTTAGACAGAGACTAAGCTATGGGGGTCTGGGAACAGTCTGCTCATGCACTTTGTGAATTGGATCTCTAGCCTAATGGTTGTGCCATCTCCAGCTGCAAACTCAACTTATTTGTAGTTCCCAGTGGATGAAAAGATTTACAGAGGAAATGTCTCTCAGAGCCAGAATCTCAGGGACAACTCAGGACAGAGGAAAGGTCTCATGATGTTTTGATAATTGACCCAGGACAGAGTTTGCCCAAAAGACACCAGTCTGAGGAGAAACCTTTTGAAAATCTCGATTTCCAGAATGGCTCAATGGTCTTATCACCGGCCTATCATTGGGAAGTTCTCTTCCCAATGAACTTCCTCTCACAGATGCACAACAAGGATAAAAAATAAGGGCAGATAGAATTAAATAGTAATATTGTTAGTAATTGTCAGGTTTTCACTAAGGATAAAAGTTTTGTAAATCTTATCAGATAATAAAATAATTCCTAAAAAAGAATTTTGTATTTTAGGAGTCAAAATAAACTCATCATGTGGGGAGGTTAAAAAATAAAATAAAATGAATTGAAGCTCAAACCTAAAGTAGACTTACCTCACTACTATTGTCATGGAGATATCTGAGGAAGAGTTTCAAGTGGCCTTTGAGGAACACTCTGTTCTTTGTGGAGAGCCACTGCAGGGAGCAGGTCTTGGTCATACACTGGGGGAAACTCCAAGACTGCTGAATGCTAGCTTCCTGAAAATACCATCAAAATACCCTGCTGATAAAACAAAGCCAAGCTTATTGTTTACCGCAGTATGAGAGATCACTACCTTGACAATCTTAGTGACATCTCTGAGAAGGAAGAGTAACAGTAGCATATTTATGAAGTTTTGAGAATTTGAGTTAAAATTCATCTTATAATGCTTAAGATTAGGCAGATTCATGATATGATAGTTTCGAATGTGAGGGTTTCAAATCAAATCTTAAAGAGTAAACTGTCATTTGAGGAGCTTAAGCTATCGATTATCTTGAGAAATGGGTATTTACTCTAATAACGGTAAGTTGAGTAGTCTAGTGGTCAGATAAATGAAATTTTGGGAAGTTCCTGAAACAAGAAATGGTTATTGCAATTTTAATCTTTCTTGGCAAGAACTTCCTACAATAGTAAATTTATGTTAATGCAGACAGTTGAATAGTAACATCATGTTGTAGACAGTAAGTTGTGGAGATGGTTTCAGTTGTCAATACTTCCCCCCAACATACACACATTTTATTTCCTGTTGAAACTTTGGAAATTTAGGTTCAGGAGCCATATGAAATGTTGCATCAGTTTGCAAAGTTCTTTCTGTTTGCGGTGACACTTTTTCGCTTAGTTGACTTAGAATTTGCTTTATTCTGTTGTCAGTTGGGATTTATTTTGTAAAATGAAATTAAAATGCCAACAGAGAATTTAAAGTGCATAATGGCCTCTAAAAACGAGAACATTTAGCCACAATCAACATAACTTTTTCCATTTTAAGTCATGGTCAAAATTGGAAAGAAAAATTTACAAGTATGATTTCTTTTTTTTTCCTCCCAGCAGGCATTATTAAATATAGAAAGCTTAAAATTTCAGAAACAGTCTATGTTAACATGATTTAAATAAAATCTTCTGTTAAGATCATTTAAAAAAATAGAAATCTGGGGTAATCTTAGTGCTATATTTTCATTGTACACTTTTAAAAAATATTCTTTTGCCACATTCAAAATCAGTTAAAAAATTGCAGAGCATACTTATTTTTTGCTTCCAGATGATTTGTTGAAAATAACATCTTTTGATTTTAAAAGCAAAGAAATTCTTATTATAACATTTTAGAAAATTTAGAAAAGTACAAATAAGAAAGGAAAATTTGTACAAATTACTACTTTCTAGAGACAGTCACTGTATTCATTTTCTAGGCTGTGTGATAAATCAACACAAACTTAGCAGCTTAAAACAACAGCACACGTTGATTATTTCACAGTTTCTGCAGGTCAGAATTCCTGGGACACTATAACTGAATAATTCTGTGCTTCTAGATCGCACCAGGCTGCAGTCAACGTGTTGACTGTGTTGTGTTATTATCTGGAGGCTTGTCTAGGAAAAAATATGCTTCCAAACTCATTCAGGTTGTTGGCAGAATTCACTTCTCTGCAGCTGTGTGACTGAGGGCTCTGTTTTCTTACTGACCACTGGCAGGGAAGGCCACAGTTCCTTGCCACATGACAGCTTGAATTTTCAAGCCAGTATAATAATCTCTCTCTCCAGTCTGCATCCATCACCTTGCCATATTCTATTGGTTAGAAGCAAGTCATCAGTTCTGTCTTCACTCAAGGGTAGGGGATTATACAAGGGCCTGACTCGTCGAAGGTCAGTTTCTGGTGTTCACCACAGCCACTTTATTTTTCATGGGGAGATATACCTTTCCATGCTTTTTCCATGATTGCATAAATGCAGTATATTATAAATATAGTATAATTGTTTATTTTGTCAACATTCTTTAAAAATGTGTTTTTAAATTTAATATATGTATATATAGTACATACATATAGCACATGCATATATGCTGTAATTATAATAATGCTATAATTTGTAATAAAATGTATACTAATTTATAGTAGTAAAATTTGTAATAGAAAAACTGCATCAAATCTGAATGCCCAATAAGAGGAGACTGCTTATGTAACTTTTAATTTTAAATTTCCTCTTACTGTAGATTAAGATTATTTGTAGTTTTTAACTATTATATACAATTCTTCATAAAAATTTGCATATAAATCCTTGTTTTTTTTTTTATAAATGCCTTTAGGATAAAAACCTGTAGTAACAAAATTACTAGGTCAAATGGCAAGACGTCTTAAAGGCTTTGAACTTATAGTCCCAAATTAACTACTGGAATGGCGGTACCAATTTAAATTCCTCCCACTCTTCAACATTTTATTAGAGGAGTTTGATTAGAGGAGAAATAGTATCTAGTTTTAATTTTTCTTTCTTTCCCTATAAATGAGCTAGACATTTTCCATATGATTTCATCCTTATTTATATTTATTCTTTAAAGATTACTGTTCATTTGCTAATTTTTCTACTAGTATGTAGTAATATTTTATGAAGAAAAAAATTAAGAGATGTGAGAAGCATTTAAGTTTTGTGTGTTGCAAGTGTAAATCCTTCAAAATAAGCGTTAAAATATATAGATAATATCAGTGAATACTAGCACCATATAACATTGCCCACTGAAACACTAAAAAGTACAAAAGTTCACAACATATTGTAAGGGAAATTCATCAAGAATCTGCTCTGTTATCTTGGAGGTACCAGACATACCATATGCTGTGTCTAGGAGTTGCTATGGCAACTACTTTTAAAATTTAAGAACAGAGTAAATTGTTGCCTAAAATCTCCATAACTTAGTGAGTCAATTAAGATCTTGTCAGAGCCCTGCATTCCTTTCACTACCTGGTAATGCTTTATTTCTTGCATGTAATGTCTCTGGGTCAGAGAAGAATGTGTTTATTTCTAGCTATTTAAGATCCTGGAGAGGATGCTGTTCATTTAGTATTTTTATGATTAGTTAATGGATCATTGTTAAGGGAGATCTCAAGAAATAGCCACACAGAAGATGGGTAGATTTGAGCTTGAAAGTGTAAAGTTGAGAGAAGTTTTTAGAGCCATGACCTCATATAAAGACATGGAAGTAGAGAGACACGGCCACAATCTTTTGGAGTTAGAAGGACTGGAATGAGAAGCTACATTTCTTGCCTCCCATTGTATCACCACACTGTAGTATTTTCACAGTTTTGTCACTTTTTAGAAAATTAAGTTATATTTTTATCCAGGTGATACATTAACCCATCAATGCCCCCAAAGTGAACTCAAAGTTTTATAATAAAATGATCAGTTTCTGACCCTTTCTCACCTCCTGCCAACCTTAATTTATCAAATTTTGACATTTACCATTTTATCATAATGGTAATGTAACCACACAATGGGTTTTCCTTGCCTGCCGCCTAGACTGACAGGGGAATTGCAATACAGAAAGAGTTTAATTTACGCAAGCTGGCAGTATGGGAGACTGGAGTTTTATTATTACTCAAATCAGTCTTCCTGAAAACTCGGGATGGGGGTTTTTGAGGATAATTTTGTGGGTAGGGGCCAGTGAGTTGGGAGTGGTGCTTGGTTTGATCAGAGATGAAATCACAGGGAGTCAAAGCTGTCCTCTCGTATTGAGCCGGTTCCTGGGTGGGGACCATAAGACCAGATGAGCCAGTTTATTGATCTGGGTGGTGCCAGCTGATCCATCAAGTGCAGGGGCTGCAAAATATCTCAAGCACTGTTCTTAGGTTTTACAATAGTGATGTTATCCCCCAGGAACATTTTGGGATGTCAGAGTCTTGCAGCCTTCAGCTGCATGACTTCTAAACCATAATTTCTAATCTTGTGGCTCATTTGTTAGTTCTGCAAAGACAGTCTAGTCCCCAGGTAGGAAGGGAGTTTGTTTTGGGAAAGGGTTGTTAATCGTTTTTGTTTCAAAGTTAAACTATAAGCTAAGTTCCTCCCCAAATTAGTTCGGCCTATGCCCAGGAATGAACAAGGGCAGCTTAGAGGTTAGAAGCAAGATAAAGTTGGTTAGGTTAGGTCTCTTTCACTGTAATAATTTTCTCAGTTATAATTATGCAACAGTGATTTCAGTAATAGGGGTTTTAAATATTTTATGCTCTCCTCTGCCCTCTTCTCTCTCATATTCTGAAAAAATATATATATATTAGTGTTTAATTCAATAATCAAATTTGTGAAATCATGATCTTGTAAAATATTTTTGACTGTAAGAAGCAAGTAGATTCCTTTCTCATGCAACTTTTTGTTTTCCCTGGAGTTAATACTTGTCTCTTTTAAAATTTTCTAATTTCTATGTACTTTTCACTATATTTTTTGGTCATATAGTATCATTTTTTTTTTTAAATAGTCAAACACAATTTTAAGCACTACGACATTTTAAACTCTTACCCTGAGACATTCCTCCTGAAGCCATTGTTCTTCCTCTTGCTTCCAGTTGGACTAGTTGCTTTCCCGGCTGCTACATAGCTGTCAATCTGGATTTCCCTTCATTGTCCTCATGTGTTGAAGTTCCTGCTTTTTGAAATCCATGTCTTGCTCTTTCTCCCTCATGTTGCTGAAGTACATCCTCCAGTAGCTTCCTAGAAAACAGCATATGAGAGACCAAAATATTTGTAAATTCTTGCATATTTGAATGGATTTAATCTTACATTTGGCTGATAGTTTGAATAAGTATACAATTATAAGTTAAAAATAATTTTCCCTCAGAATTTTGAAGGCCTTGCTGCACTATTTTCTAGTATTCATATGCTTCTGAAGAGCATTCTCTTTACCCTGGTGTTCTGCAATTTCATGACGATACCTTAGTGTGGCTCTTCTTCATTCATTATGGGGGTCCTCTTCTCTAGATATTTATGTTTTTCAGTTCTGAGAACATGTCTTGTGTTATATTTTTGAGAATTTCCTCCCCTTGGTTTTCTTTGTTCCCCCTGTAATACTTTATTGAAGATTTACCCAAACTGATTTTCCTACCCTACAATTAAAAATTAAAAATTTGGCTTAATTCCCAAGAAATCCTTCTCTGAATATTCTCTGACTTCCCTCTTTTCATACCCTTCTATTCTTCTATTCTTTTTTCATGAATATACAACCTTCTTTTATTTTTTTTTTAAATTCTCTGTGTTGACTTCTTTTTTTTATTTATTTTTTATTTATTTATTTTTATTATTATACTTTAAGTTTTAGGGTACATGTGCACATTGTGCAGGTTAGTTACGTATGTATACATGTGCCATGCTGGTGCGCTGCACCCACTAACTCATCATCTAGCATTAGGTATATCTCCCAATGCTATCCCTCCCCCCTCCCCCCACCCCACAACAGTCCCCAGAGTGTGATGTTCCCCTTCCTGTGTCCAGGTGATCTCATTGTTCAATTCCCACCTATGAGTGAGAATATGCAGTGTTTGGTTTTTTGTTCTTGCGATAGTTTACTGAGAATGATGATTTCCAATTTCATCCATGTCCCTACAAAGGACATGAACTCATCATTTTTTATGGCTGCATAGTATTCCATGGTGTATATGTGCCACATTTTCTTAATCCAGTCTATCATTGCTGGACATTTGGGTTGGTTCCAAGTCTTTGCTATTGTGAATAATGCCGCAATAAACATACGTGTACATGTGTCTTTATAGTAGCATGATTTATAGTCCTTTGGGTATATACCCAGTAAAGGGATGGCTGGGTCAAATGGTATTTCTAGTTCTAGATCCCTGAGGAATCACCACACTGACTTCCACACTGGTTGAACTAGTTTACAGTCCCACCAACAGTGTAAAAGTGTCCCTATTTCTCCACATCCTCTCCAGCACCTGTTGTTTCCTGACTTTTTAATGATTGCCATTCTAACTGGTGTGAGATGATATCTCATTGTGGTTTTGATTTGCATTTCTCTGATGGCCAGTGATGATGAACATTTTTTCATGTGTTTTTTGGCTGCATAAATGTCTTCTTTTGAGAAGTGTCTGTTCATGTCCTTCGCTCACTTTTTGATGGGCTGTTTGTTTTTTTCTTGTAAATTTGTTGGAGTTCATTGTAGATTCTGGATATTAGCCCTTTGTCAGATGAGTAGGTTGCGAAAATTTTCTCCCATTTTGTAGGTTACCTGTTCACTCTGATGGTAGTTTCTTTTGCTGTGCAGAAGCTCTTTAGTTTAATTAGATCCCATTTGTCAATTTTGGCTTTTGTTGCCATTGCTTTTGGTGTTTTAGACATGAAGTCCTTGCCCATGCCTATGTCCTGAATGGTAATGCCTAGGTTTTCTTCTAGGGTTTTTATGGTTTTAGGTCTAACATTTAAGTCTTTAATCCATCTTGAATTGATTTTTGTATAAGGTGTAAGGAAGGGATCCAGTTTCAGCTTTCTACATATGGCCAGCCAGTTTTCCCAGCACCATTTATTAAATAGGGAATCCTTTCCCCATTGCTTGTTTTTCTCAGGTTTGTCAAAGATCAGATAGTTGTAGATATGTGGCGTTATTTCTGAGGGCTCTGTTCTGTTCCATTGATCTATATCTCTGTTTTGGTACCAGTACCGTGCTGTTTTGGTTACTGTAGCCTTGTCGTATAGTTTGAAGTCAGGTAGTGTGATGCCTCCAGCTTTGTTCTTTTGGCTTAGGATTGACTTGGCGATGCAGGCTCTTTTTTGGTTCCATATGAACTTTAAAGTAGTTTTTTCCAATTCTGTGAAGAAAGTCATTGGTAGCTTGATGGGGATGGCATTGAACCTATAAATTACCTTGGGCAGTATGACCATTTTCACGATATTGATTCTTCCTACCCATGAGCATGGAATGTTCTTCCATTTGTTTGTATCCTCTTTTATTTCCTTGAGCAGTGGTTTGTAGTTCTCCTTGAAGAGGTCCTTCACATCCCTTGTAAGTTGGATTCCTAGGTATTTTATTCTCTTTGAAGCAATTGTGAATGGGAGTTCACTCATGATTTGGCTCTCTGTTTGTCTGTTGTTGGTGTATAAGAATGCTTGTGATTTTTGTACATTGATTTTGTATCCTGAGACTTTGCTGAAGTTGCTTATCAGCTTGAGGAGATTTTGGGCTGAGATGATGGGGTTTTCTAGATATACAATCATGTCATCTGCAAAGAGGGACAATTTGACTTCCTCTTTTCCTAATTGAATACCCTTTATTTCCTTCTCCTGCCTGATTGCCCTGGCCAGAACTTCCAACACTGTGTTGAATAGGAGTGGTGAGAGAGGACATCCCTGTCTTGTGCCAGTTTTCAAAGGGAATGCTTCCAGTTTTTGTCCATTCAGTATGATATTGGCTGTGGGGTTGTCATAGATAGCTCTTATTATTTTGAAATACGTCCCATCAATACCTAATTTATTGAGAGTTTTTAGCATGAAGGGTTGTTGAATTTTGTCAAAGGCCTTTTCTGCATCTATTGAGATAATCATGTGGTTTTTGTCTTTGGCTCTGTTTATATGCTGGATTACATTTATTGATTTGCATATATTGAACCAGCCTTGCATCCCAGGGATGAAGCCCACTTGATCATGGTGGATAAGCTTTTTGATGTGCTGCTGGATTCGTTTTGCCAGTATTTTATTGAGGATTTTTGCATCAATGTTCATCAAGGATATTGGTCTAAAATTCTCTTTTTTGGTTGTGTCTCTGCCTGGCTTTGGTATCAGGATGATGCTGGCCTCATAAAATGAGTTAGGGAGGATTCCCTCTTTTTCTATTGATTGGAATAGTTTCAGAAGGAATGGTACCAGTTCCTCCTTGTACCTCTGGTAGAATTCGGCTGTGAATCCATCTGGTCCTGGACTCTTTTTGGTTGGTAAGCTATTGATTATTGCCACAATTTCAGATCCTGTTATTGGTCTATTCAGAGATTCAACTTCTTCCTGGTTTAGTCTTGGGAGAGTGTATGTGTCGAGGAATTTATCCATTTCTTCTAAATTTTCTAGTTTATTTGCGTAGAGGTGTTTATAGTATTCTCTGATGGTAGTTTGTATTTCTGTGGGATCGGTAGTGATATCCCCTTTATCATTTTTTATTGCATCTATTTGATTCTTCTCTCTTTTTTTCTTTATTAGTCTTGCTAGCGGTCTATCAATTTTGTTGATCCTTTCAAAAAACCAGCTCCTGGATTCATTAATTTTTTGAAGGGTTTTTTTGTGTCTCTATTTCCTTCAGTTCTGCTCTGATTTTAGTTATTTCTTGCCTTCTGCCAGCTTTTGAATGTGTTTGCTCTTGCTTTTCTAGTTCTTTTAATTGTGATGTTAGGGTGTCAATTTTGGATCTTTCCTGCTTTCTCTTGTGGGCATTTAGTGCTATAAATTTCCCTCTACACACTGCTTTGAATGTTTCCCAGAGATTCTGGTATGTTGTGTCTTTGTTCTCATTGGTTTCAAAGAACATCTTTATTTCTGCCTTCATTTCATTATGTACCCAGTAGTCATTCAGGAGCAGGTTGTTCAGTTTCCATGTAGTTGAGTGGTTTTGAGTGAGATTCTTAATCCTGAGTTCTAGTTTGATTGCACTGTGGTCTGACAGATAGTTCGTTATAATTTCTGTTCTTTTACATTTGCTGAGGAGAGCTTTACTTCCAAGTATGTGGTCAATTTTGGAATAGGTGTGGTGTGGTGCTGAAAAAAATGTATATTCTGTTGATTTGGGGTGAAGAGTTCTGTAGATGTCTATTAGGTCTGCTTGGTGCAGAGCTGAGTTCAATTCCTGGGTATCCTTGTTGACTTTCTGTCTCGTTGATCTGTCTAATGTTGACAGTGGTGTGTTAAAGTCTCCCATTATCAATGTGTGGGAGTCTAAGTCTCTTTATAGGTCACTCAGGACTTGCTTTATGAATCTGGGTGCTCCTGTATTGGGTGCATATATATTTAGGATAGTTAGCTCTTCTTGTTGAATTGATCCCTTTACCATTATGTAATGGCCTTCTTTGTCTCTTTTGATCTTTGTTGGTTTAAAGTCTGTTTTATCAGAGACTAGGATTGCAACCCCTGCCTTTTTGTGTTTTCCATTTGCTTGGTAGATCTTCCTCCATCCTTTTATTTTGAGCCTATGTGTGTCTTTGCACGTGAGATGGGTTTCCTGAATACAGCACACTGATGGGTCTTGACTCTTTATCCAATTTGCCAGTCTGTGTCTTTTAATTGGAGCATTTAGTCCATTTACATTTAAAGTTAATATTGTTATGTGTGAATTTGATCCTGTCATTATGATGTTAGCTGGTGATTTTGCTCGTTAGTTGATGCAGTTTCTTCCTAGTCTCGATGGTCTTTACATTTTGGCATGATTTTGCAGCGGCTGGTACCGGTTGTTTCTTTCCATGTTTAGTGCTTCCTTCAGGAGCTCTTTTAGGGCAGGTCTGGTGGTGACAAAATCTCTCAGCATTTGCTAGTCTGTAAAGCATTTTATTTCTCCTTCACTGATGAAGCTTAGTTTGGCTGGATATGAAATTCTGGGTTGAAAATTCTTTTCTTAAAGAATGTTGAATATTGGCCCCCACTCTCTTCTGGCTTGTAGGGTTTCTGCCGAGAGATCCGCTGTTAGTCTGATGGGCTTCCCTTTGAGGGTGACCCGACCTTTCTCTCTGGCTGCCCTTAACATTTTTTCCTTCATTTCAACTTTGGTGAATCTGACAATTATGTGTCTTGGAGTTGCTCTTCTCGAGGAGTATCTTTGTGGCGTTCTCTGTATTTCCTGAATCTGAACGTTGGCCTGCCTTGCTAGATTGGGGAAGTTCTCCTGGATAATATCCTGCAGAGTGTTTTCCAACTTGGTTCCATTCTCCCCATCACTTTCAGGTACACCAATCAGATGTAGATTTGGTCTTTTCACATAGTCCCATATTTCTTGGAGGCTTTGCTCGTTTCTTTTTATTCTTTTTTCTCTAAACTTCCCTTCTTGCTTCATTTCATCTTCCATTGCTGATACCCTTTCTTCCAGTTGATCGCATCGGCTCCTGAGGCTTCTACATTCTTCACGTAGTTCTCGAGCCTTGGTCTTCAGCTCCATCAGCTCCTTTAAGCACTTCTCTGTATTGGTTATTCTAGTTATACATTCTTCTAAATTTTTTTCAAAGTTTTCAACTTCTTTGCCTTTGGTTTGAATGTCCTCCCATAGCTCAGAGTAATTTGATCGTCTGAAGCCTTCTTCTCTCAGCTCGTCAAAGTCATTCTCCGTCCAGCTTTGTTCCGTTGCTGGTGAGGAACTGCATTCCTTTGGAGGAGGAGAGGCACTCTGCTTTTTAGAGTTTCCAGTTTTTCTGTTCTGTTTTTTCCCCATCTTTGTGGTTTTATCTACTTTTGGTCTTTGATGATGGTGATGTACAGATGGGTTTTTGGTGTGGATGTCCTTTCTGTTTGTTAGTTTTCCTTCTAACAGACAGGACCCTCAGCTGCAGGTCTGTTGGAGTACCCTGCTGTGTGAGGTGTCAGTGTGCCCCTGCTTGGGGGTGCCTCCCAGTTAGGCTGCTCGGTGGTCAGGGGTCAGGGACCCACTTGAGGAGGCAGTCTGCCCGTTCTCAGATCTCCAGCTGTGTGCTGGGAGAACCACTGCTCTCTTCAAAGCTGTCAGACAGGGACATTTAAGTCGGCAGAGGTTACTGCTGTCTTTTTGTTTGTCTGTGCCCTGCCCCCAGAGGTGGAGCCTACAGAGGCAGGCAGGCCTCCTTGAGCTGTGGTGGGCTCCACCCAGTTCGAGCTTCCTGGCTGCTTTGTTTACCTAAGCAAGCCTGGGCAATGGTGGGCGCCCCTCCCCCAGCCTCGCTGCCGCCTTGCAGTTTGATCTCAGACTGCTGTGCTAGCAATCAGCGAGATTCCGTGGGCGTAGGACCCTCTGAGCCAGGTGCGGGATATAATCTCGCGGTGCGCCGTTTTTTAAGCCCGTCGGAAAAGCGCAGTATTCGGGTGGGAGCGAGCCGATTTTCCAGGTGCCGTCCGTCACCCCTTTCTTTGACTAGGAAAGGGAACTCCCTGACCCCTTGCGCTTCCGGAGTGAGGCAATGCCTCGCCCTGCTTCGGCTCGCGCACGGTGCACGCACCCACTGACCTGCGCCCACTGTGTGGCACTCCCTAGTGAGATGAACCCGGTACCTCAGATGGAAATGCAGAAATCACCCGTCTTCTGCGTGGCTCACGCTGGGAGCTGTAGACCGGAGCTGTTCCTATTCGGCCATCTTGGCTCCTGGATCTCTGTGTCAACCTTCTTTTATTTTTAAAAGATATTCACTGTAAGTTTTTAAAGGAGTTCTTTTTTCTTTGGCTATATGTTATGTGCATTGTCTCTCTTTGCCTCAAATTCTTTTTTTTATCATTAGAAACTTCAAATATACTTCTTAAAGATAAAAATTATACAATTATGAGATTTAAGTTCATCTATTCTACCATATTTAATATTATGACAGACAAATTCTAAGCTACTGAAATATGTTCAAGAAAGTTCTTTATAAAGTTACTAAATGGCGGTGATTATGCATTTTGCTTTTTTATTTCCCACAGTACATACATGTAAATAAAACTTTTAGAGTGCTTATAAATGTAGAAAACTATTGTATCAGAAATTGCTTAGTCAATTTTCTAGTAACTTGTACTCTCCGTGTATCATCTAGTTTTTTAAATCTTTCTTCTCTAGGTCTCTTACTAAAGCTTCCTGTTCAAAGTCTGGCTGAGAATTTTTGCTGCTTCTTTCCCTACCTCCTCATTTCCGAAGGTAATTCCCTGGTCAATCTCTCTTTCTAATAAATTATATATATAATATCTAATGAAAAGGTCAAGGCAAGCCAGGTAACAAATCTTCATATAATTGAATATGAAAAGGAATATTTCTTATAGGAGTCATTGTAATAAAACCTTGTTAGGGTAATTTTAAATATAGAAATACGTGTCTTCAGTAAGTCTGGAGAATGAACAGATTGATTGTGCCTTATATCACACAAAACGGGAAAACTTATAGTGCAAATTTTATTTTTTTATTTTTGGCGCAGTGAAGTTCTAATAAAAAACCAAAGTATTGTAAAATAATATGTTCCTACACTGGTAATCAAAGAAAGAATAGTTTATAGTAGTGGCCATCACTTCTGATTTGTTTTTCTAGCACTTGAAATTAACAGTTTGAATCTTATCTTTAACAGGATTAAATTTAACAACAAATATTTTGAAACTGGTTATTTAGTCCTTTGATTGTTATTTTAAAACTTTCTAGAGGCGCGGTGGCTCATGCCTGTAATCCCAGGACTTTGGGAGGCCGAGGCAGGCAGATCACGAGGTCAGGAGCTCGAGACCATCCTGGCTAACATGGTGAAACCCCGTCTCTACTAAAAATACAAAAAATTAGCTGGGCGTGGTGGTGGGCGCCTGTAGTCCTAGCTACACGGGAGGCTGAGGCAGGAGAATGGCAGGAACCCAGGAGGCGGAGCTTGCAGTGAGCCGAGATTGTGCCACTGTACTCTAGCCTGGGCGACAGTGTGAGACTCCGTCTCAGAAAAAAAAAAAAAAGAAAGAAAGCAGAGACCAATTTCCCTTTTCTGTCATTAGTTGTTTTGGTATGTTTACAACTGACTCCTTTGTAAATGTGTGATGTTAAGGGTTTGGTTTTATTTTGAACTCTATTTAAAAATTGAACTGCATTAGTCTTTACCACTTTTTTTTGGTTTGATCAATGCAAAAGCTGCACCTTTCCCAGTTGTAGCTGATCTCTGTCGTTCATTGCTTCTCCTTACCTTTCCAAGGAGGTACCTTTCTGGCTTCTCTGTTGAACATTTCCTAAATAAAGTGTGGATGAAAAGCAATAGAGGAAGGAAATGCAGAAAATTATAAGGCTGAAATAGAAACTGGCCACAGCAGAGATTAAAGGTAGGTAAGCATGTATTCAGTATATACCCATATACTCAGATACACTGTGGCCCTTCTGGATCTTGGAAAATCTTGAGCAGAGCATATTTATAACAGGATCCAAGTATATTTGCTTTTCTAAGCAAGTAATCTTAGGCTATGGACTATTCATAGTGTAGTTAGTTGGGTTATTTTAAGCAAATGTTTTCACCTTCTCCATGCACTCTGCACTTGTCATTTGTCAAATGGGGGTAATGTCTACCTTAGCACACTGTTTTGAAGATTGCAATTAGCTAATGGATTTGAAAGTACTGTAGCAAGTTAAAAATGTTCTACAAAGACAAGGCATTTAACATATTCTTCAAAGGCTCTGTGCTGTTCTAATGGGTGGAAGGGGAGTTTCTTGGGCACCCTGCAAGGCCAAGATCAGTGTTAGTTTCCCACAGAGATCACTGGGTGTGGTTGTCTAGGTAATGTGAAATTGCATATGCCTTTACCCAGGACCTGGGACCCCTAAGGCTATGGGCAAGTATATTATTTCTTTGTCTTGTTTTTCTTGATTTCAGAGATGTACTGATATGGTTCTCAAAATGTGGGGAAAAGAGGATACTATATGATTAAGTATAAGAGTCATCCTTCATTCCTGAACCCACCACTTACTATTCCTCTTCCCTTTTACCATCTTCTTTTGAAATGATATTTCTTCTATGTGATCAAAGCTATGAAAATGCTTTTAGTCTAGGATGGAATGCCCGGGTTCAACAATCACAGAAAAGCATTGTGTTAAGATACTTTCTGCAGCAAGTTATAAAAACAAAACAAAACAAAACAAAAACCACCAAACAAACAAACAAATAAACTTTGACTCATTGTATGATCAGCAGCTCACAAAGATCATTGAGGACCCAGGTCCATTTTTCTTCCTGCTTTGCTGTCCTCAAACATGGTTTCTTACAGCGGCTGATGTCAAAGAAAACCAGAGGTGGACAGTTAAGTAGTTAAAGAAGTAAAGGCAGATTTCACTCAGAAATTATTGTAATAGGGGAAAGAGACCTCAGAATAGAAATGGGCTCAATTCTGAATTCAACAAGGAAAGAGGGGGATTCATAGCTAAGGAACAGGGCTGGGGCGGGTGGAAAATTATTTAGAGAAGAGGCCAATTCTTTGCTAAACCGGCCTAATAGGATTGTTGCTGAAGGCAGGCCAGGGTGTTCAGATATTACCTGAGGGAAGTTGGGTGATGAATAATTTGGTTGGATATTGAGGATGATCAGATATTGGGGGTTGGGGGAGGATTCTGGCTAAACTGACTTCTCAGGACTCCTACTAAAACTGGACTCTCCAAGGACAGAGAAGCCCAAGGTTGTACCTAGTAGAGGGTTCAAAGGAGCCTGACTAAAGTTTGGTCAAGGAGAGAATCTTTGTCATTGGCTTCATATTTACAAGATATATAGTATATATAGCTGCAATAGTTCCAAGTTTCCTATCCAGACCCAATAACATCCAGGGGAATGTGAGCTACTGTCTCTTCCTTGAAACTATTTTATTTTTAAAGGAAAAAGGGCTTTTCCAGAAGCTCCCACTTGACTTCTCTCATATTTAATGGCTGTACTGAGTCACGTGCCAATTTTAAACCAGTAATTGAAACGAGAAATGGGTTACCATGATTAACTTAGACATATCATCTTGCTAAGTCAACCACAATGACCAGCACTAGAAGAATACTTTTTGTTTAACTTTGAATTAGATATTTTATAACTTTTCTGTACTGGATTCAAAATTTTCTTTTGATTGCTAGATCTAGTAAAACTCTACAATTACACTCACAATGATAATGTGCATTCAGATGTAACACAATAGGCAGTTGACTCCCATTCTCCTTATACCCCTCATTCACAAATTGGGTGGGCTAAATTCTTGTCTTTTGAGCATGGAGGAAGAATGTAAGGTGTGAGAAGGAACAATATTGGGTGGAGATATCCAGGCAGCTCTTGGGAATTGGAGGCAAAAACAGACCCCTACATTCTCAGTATTCTTTCTACATAATCTCTTTAGATCAGGTTGATAAAGTGTATACCAACCAATCGGGGGTTCCTGGAATCACTGCCACTCTTTTGTCATTCTAGCTAGCTACAGGGCTCCAAATTATCTCCACTTAAAATTAAGGTAGAGTAGAAAACCACAACAATTTTATGACAAAATGCTGCTAGAACCAAGTGGGCTTGGAATGCATAGCCAGATTCATAGGAATTTCTGTTTGGCTCGGTAGGCAGTAGCCACTCCTGGTCTATTTATTTATTTCACAATAATGCATGTGCATTTTACATGATTATATTTTCAGATTTTATTTATTGAGTCTTATTAGAATTTTACTGCATTTGTTCTCTGGTCTTCATACAGGCAGTATGGCACAGTGGGGAGAAACCATGCTGAAGCATAGTTGTTTCCCTAACTTGAGGATATTACTGATTTCTTCTATTTGTCTCAGAAATTCTGAACCAGGTGAGAGAAGAGGAGGTAGTAGGGCAGAAGAAAGAGAACAAATAGCATGACAGAAATGCACAGAAGTTATGGGACATTGTTCTGGGGAGATTTTCACAGAGAGAAAAAGACTTTCTTTTAAATATTCTTTCCAAATAATCACAGTTAGTAATAAAGAAACCATAACTAACCATGGCTAAAATATTGAGAGTAAGAAAACTTTTACCAAGTGATGAAATACAGCTTATGTATCGTATTAGTCAGAACCAATAAGACATATATGGATATATAGGAAGAGATTTACTATGAGGGACCGGCTCACACAATTATGGAGGCTAAGTCTACAATCTGTTGTCTGGAAGCTGGAGAACCAGAAAACTGGTGGTGTCATTGTAACTCCAGCGCAAAGGCCTAAGAACCAGAAGAATCAATGGTGTAAGTCTCAGTCTGCATCTGAAGGCCTGAGAACCAGGAGCGCCAATGTCTGAGGGCAGGAGAAGGTGGGTGTCCCAGCTCAAGAAGAGAGAGCAAATTCAGTCTTCCTCTGCCTTTTTGTTCTGTTCAGGCCCTTCCTGGGTTAGCTGATGCTCACCTACATTGATGAGGACAATCTTTGTTTAGTTTGCTGATTCAATTGCTCACCTCTTCTGGAAACACCTTCACAGACTCACCAGAAATAATGTTTTACCAGCCATCTGGGCATCTGTTAGCCCAGTCAAGTTGACACTTAAAATTAACCACCACAGGTATGATATGAATAAACTAGCTGGCATAAGCCATTAAACAGAAAAGCAACTGAGTAACAACGACATTAACTAAAGTGCCGTCATGGGTTAACATAACAAAATGTTCTTAATTCTCTTCATACTTATTTTCAACCTTAGCGAAATATGTGGTTTTTACACTGCTGCAGAACAAATAGAACAGAACTTATGGTACATAATTTATGTAAGTGATTTTATGTGTGTTTTTTTAAGAGTTTTAAAATAATTCTTTAAAAATAGCTCCATTGAGACATAATTTACATACCATGAAATTCACCCATTGTAAGTGTACAATTCAATGATTTTTTAGCAACTTTATAGAGTTTTGGGTAAATTTCACTGTGATTCAATTTTAGAACATTTTTCTCACCCCAAGAAGTTTTCTTATGCTCATTTGCAGTCAGTACCCACCCCCCACCCGGCTCCAGGCAGCCATTTATCTGCTCCCAGTCTCTATAAATTTGCCTTTCCTGGAAATTTCATATAAATGGAACTGTACAATTTGCAGTTTTTTATTTTTGACTTCTTTCACTTAGCATACTGTTTTAGGGGTTCAACCAAGTTGTAGTGTGTATCAAAAGCTCATTCCTTTTCATTGCGCAATAGCATTTCATTGTATGGATATGCTTATCCCGTTGGTTTTTTCCATTCATGTCAACGGACATTTGTATTGCTTCCAATTTTTGGCTATTATAAATAATGCTATGGACATTTCTGTACAAGTTTTGTGTCAATGTATGTTTTCATTTCTTTTGGGTATATGCCTAGGAGTGGCATTGCTAGGTCATCTGGTAACTCTAGGTTTAACTTTTTAAAAACTGCCAAACTGTTTTTCAAACGGCTGTAACATTTCACATTCTTTCCAGCAATGTGTGAGGGTTCCAATTTCTTCATATTATCATCAATATCTAGTATTGTCACTCTTTTTGATTGGTCATTTTAATGTGTGGGTATGCCATTTTGCTGTGATTTTAATTTGTATTTCCCTAATGACTAATAACATTGAGAATGTTGTCATTTGCCTATTATCCATTTTTTTCAGGCACATGATTGGCATATACTTTCTCCTAGTCTGTAATTTGTCTTTTTATTTTTCTTATTGGTAACTTTTGAAAGTAAAATGTTTTAATTTTGCTGAAGCCCAATTTGTCATTTTTTTTTTTCTTTTCTGGATCATGCTTTTAGTGTCATATCTAAGAATTTTCTGCTTATATCCAGGAGTTTCTCCTATGGTTTCTTTTAGAAGTTTTATAACTTTTGCTCTTCCAATTAGGTATTTGATGTGTTTCAAGGAAATTTTTGTGTAAGGTGTAAGGTAAGGGTCTAAATTCGTTTTGTTGCATGTGGCATCTATTTGCCCTAGTAACATTTTTTGAAAAAAATCATAGTACCCATAACGACTCAATTGACCATAAATGTCAGGATTTATTTCTGACTCTGAATTCTTTTCCACTGATTTATATATTTGCCTTTATACCTATCACACTGTTGTCATTATTGTAGTTTTATATTAAGTTTTGAAGTTGAGTAGTATACGTTCTCTAAATTTGTTCTTTTTAAAAATTATTTTGGCTACTTTGGGTTCTTTGAATTTTTATATGAATTTTAGGATCAGCTTGTCAATTTCTACAAAAATGACTGCTGGGATCTTGACTGGGATTGCATTGAATCCACAGAACAATTTGGGATATGTTACTATATTAACAATATTGAAGCTTCCAGTTTATGAACATGGAATGTAACTTTATTTATTTAGATCTTTAATTTCTTTCAGTCTGTTTTACAATTTTCAGAGTATAAGTTTTCCACTTCTTTTGTTAAACTTATTACTAAATATTTTATTTTTATTGATTTTATTGGGAATGAAATCATTTCTTAATTTTACTTTTGGTGTTTGTTGCTATTACATAGAACTAAAATAGTTGATTTTTGCATATTGATCTCATATCCTGTGGCCTTTTAAATTTATTTATTAGTTTTAGTAGACATTTATGTGGCCAACAAACATATGAAAAAAGCTCAGCGTAACTGATCATTAGAGAAATGCGGATCAAAACCACAATGAGATACCATCTCACACCAGTCAGAATGATAATTATTAAAAAGTCAAGAAACAACAGATGCTGGTGAGGCTGTAGAGAAATAGGAACGCTTTTACACTATTGGTGGGAACGTAAATTAGTTCAACCATTGTGGAAGACAGTGTGGTGATTCCTCAAAGAGCTAGAACCAGAAATGCCATTTGACCCAGCAATCCCATTACTGGGTATAACTCAAAGGAATATAAATCATTCTGTTATAAATATACATGTATGTGTATGTTCATTGCAGCACTATTCACAAGTTCAAAGACATGAAATCGACCCAAATGCTCATCAATGATAAAGTGGATAGAGAAAATGTGGTATATATACACCATGGAATACTATGCAGCCATAAAAAGGAATGAGATCATGTCCTTTGCAGGGACATGGATAGAGCTGGAAGCCATTATCCTCAGCAAACTAACGCAGGAACAGAAAACCAAACACTGCATGTTCTCACTTGTAAGTGGGGGCTGACAAATGAGAACACATGGACACAGGGAGGGGAACAACACACATTGGGGCCTGTTGGGGGTGGGGGGCGGGGAGAGGCAGAGCATCAGGAAAAATATGCTTACCAAGCTTAATACCTAGGTGATGGGTTGAGAGGTACAGCAAACCACCATGGCACACATTTACCTATGTAACAAACCTGCACATGTATCTTGGAATGTAAAATAAAAAAAAAAAAAAAGATCCTTTAGGATCATATAATTTGTGCATAAAAACAGTTTTACTTCTTTCTTTTCAATCTGTGTTTTTTTCTTTCTTTTTAAAATCGAATCTATATTATTTACTTGCTTTTTCTTGCCTGACTGCACTGGCTAGAACCTACTGTATCATGTTGCATAGGAGTGGGAAGAGTAGCTATCTCATCTATTTCCTGATCTTGGGGGGAAAAGCATTCAGTTTTTACCATTAAGTGTGATGTTTGTAGGTTTCTCATAGATGTCTTTTTTTTTTGCTAAGGAAGTTCCTTTCTATTTCTAACTTGTTGAGTTTTTTACATTCAGATGTCATAATGAGGAGTTTGGCTTTTATTTGACAATAAAGGGTCAAATGTTTCTATCAAGGAAGTGGCATGATCAGAGTTACTCTTTAGAAAGGTAATTCTTAGAGTGGCATGGGAAAGAAGAGACTGGAGACAGGAAGGCCAAATAAAAGTCATCTGCAATACTTTATGTTCTCAAATTTTAGTGCATATCAGAGTTATCGGAGTCCAGTTAAAACACAGACTGCTGGTCTCATCCCCAGAGTTTCAGACTAAGTGGGTATGAGGTGGGGTTTGAGGATTTGTATTTCTTACAAGTTTCCAGGTAATTCTGATGCTGTTGGTTCATTTTGCTGACCACTGGTCCAGGCAAAGAAAAGAAACACTTGAACTAGAATGGTGGCAATAGGATAGAAAGATACCAGAGTGGAAGAGTCCATGTCTCAGGAACTTATAGGATATGGAGAATGAAGTTGGGAGTTCATGATGACATGAATCAGACTTATATGATTGGTGGTCATGTTAATAGAGGTAGTTGTGGAAGGTTACTTGAAGAGGTAGATTGATAATGCATTTATTTATGCAGTAATGCCTACTGGATTTGAGATGCAAGAAAGATACTTAGGTGGAGATTCTCAGCAAACACTTGGGACTTCTTATCTATGAGAGGTTGGGATCAGAAATGGAAGTTTTGGAGCCATCAAGCCATCATCACTCATTTCCACCCACTATATGGAAATACAGTGAGACTGAAAGGCCTGAGCCAAAAACAGAACTGTGGAGATTCTTACCTTCTCAAAGTGGGATAAGTAGGAAACAGGAGTGGTCAGGAGAGTACAGTGTTTCAGTGCAAAAAGGTAGAGAAAGGTTCAACAAAGAGCCAAGAGGGTCCAATCTTGCAGAAAAAGATGAGTGGCCTCCAGTGTCATTAGATTCTGTGATGAGGAAGCAATTGGTGACCTTTAAGAGAGAAATTTCTGCAAAGTAGAAAGGCAGAGAAAAGATTATAAAAGCTTAAGGAGTAAGTAAATTGTTACAAAGTGAAGACCACTAGGGCAACCAAATACTAAGTTGAAACTGTATCAGAAAATGATACTTTGAACTGAGTACTTTGAGCTAAAGGAGACTGGAAGGCCTCAGAAACAGCCCCAGAAGCATAGCCTCTCTTTGCCCTTCTTCTGCCCTCCTGCCTCCTGCCCCTCCTTCTCCCCTGAAGCGAGTCATAGAGACCAGAATTCCATTTCCCTAATGTGGGTCATAGAAACTAGAATCCTTCTCCCCCAAAGCAAGCCATCAATCCTAGAAAGGCTACTCTTTCCCTTTTCCATTCTCTCTTGAAGGCCCTCATTCCATAAGGATCCTGGCCCAAATCTGGGAGGAAGAATGTTGCACAGAGAGGCCAAGAAGAATCTGAACAAGCAGGCTTTGCTGGATCTCCTCCCTCAGTCTGTTACCATTAGATCATACCCTTTTGTCTAATCACATTTCTACACAGCTGTCTATTCTTCATTGAACCTAAGTATAAAAACAAATTATTTTCCCTGGATTTTTAGGTTTTCATTTCTGAAGCCTCCTATGTCATGTAAAAGTTTGATTAAAGAAATATGTTTTTTTCTTGTTATCCTGGTTTTTGTTATAGGAGTGTTGGCTGTGATGATTATAACGGGTGAGGAAAGATATCACACCTTTCAGCCCTTACAAAACTAAATGGGAATTCAGAAAACAATATTTAAAAAAATATAGGAAAACTCACTGGGGAGTTTCAACATGCCACTCTTGGACAGAGAGAATGACCTCCATGTTTTTAGAGATTTGAAAAGCTAGTGTCTGGGAGTTTGGTGAAACCAGGAAGGAATTGTGATTAGCAGCAAGATGAGGATCAATGAACACCAAGCAAGAAAAGGAGTGGTGGCTTAGTAAATGGAAACAACACTGAGGCACAGGAAGAAGAGAGATGTGGATAGAAAAATAGAAAAGGGGGAAGGCAAAAGGGACAAAAATGTGTCCATGAGAATGTAAAGGAGAAACATTTCTTTTTTTCACGCATTGCTAGGTTCATAACTGAGACCCTTATAACAAAAGATAGATTAACGAGAGAAAAGCATAACAAATTTATTTAATATAAGTTATAGGTGACATGGAATCTTTAGAAATGGAGGCCCAAAGAAAGAGAGAAAATTGTGTATTTTTATGCCAAGTTTGGTAAAGAAGTTGTGGGGAAATATGATTAGACCAAAGGGGGTATAATCCAATGGTAATAAACTGGGGGGAACTTAGCAAGAATCTGTTTGCTCAAATTCTTCTCTGTGTCCCTCCCTGTGTGATATTCCTTTCTTCTGTGTATAGGGCATACGAGAGTCTTATGACCCACTTTTAAATTTTTTGATTTTTAAAAATGGAGATGGGGTGTCATTATGTTGCTCAGGCTGGTCCCAATCTCCAAAGCTCAAGCAATTTTCTTGCCTCAACTTCCTGAAGTGTTGGAATTACAGGTGTGAGCCACCACATCTGGCCTTATGACATATTTTAGAGGAAGATCAGAGCATTTGTGGTGTATGTCAGACAAGGGTAGGGGAAAATCAGAGAGACTTTTTTTTTTTCTTTGAGATGGAGTCTGGCTCTGCTGCCCAGACTGGAGTGCAGTGGCGTGATCTCAGCTCCTGCAACCTCTGCCTCCCAGGTTCAAGCGATCCTTGTGCCTCAGGCTCCCAAGTAACTGGGACTACAGATGCCCACCACCATGCCCAGCTAATTTTTTAATTTTTAGTAGAGACAGAGTTTCACCATGTTGGCCAGGCTGGTCTCGGGCTCCCAACCTCAGGTGATCCTCCTGCCTTGGCCTCAGAGAGACTTTTGCTTCAGCTGTTTCCTCAAATGCCAAGGTGCCATATTTTGGGAGAGCATATATCCATCAAGGGATATATTTAGGAATGTTCTAGCATGGACGGCATTATCTTACTTTGTTACTCAATCCTCTAATGACAAAAAGGAATGTTCATGTTGCCTGAATTTACTCTTACGTACACCTGTTTCTTTCTTAACACCAAAAATTAGTGGCAATCTCTCTCACCTTCAAGTGCAGTCCATAGAAGTCTAAAGTGTGCAACAAGATAATTATTACTGAGATAATCTGTATTTTCCCCGTGCCACAGTATAGTAATGTGATAGGACTTTACAGGTGTTCCTGAAAGGCCTGTGGGGTTGGGACTGATGAGAACTGAGAGAAACACTCACATAACCCAATGAAAGAGGAGTCCAAATACAGTTCTTATACAATCAAACAATACAGAAAAGTACTTTTGTCATCATGTGTACCCCATCCCCCTCTTTTAGGTCATTTGAAACAATAGTTAGAAACATATGTGATTCCACACCAGACCTTCTACCTTGTGATTTTAGTTTTTTCAGGCACAGAGGAGAAATTTCTTTAGCCGAACTGCTTGCTCAGTGTACATTAAAGAACTGGTGTTCACAGTATAGCTGATAGCTAGTGGAAATGAAATAATCTGTATTGACACATTTGGAAGTTTCACATCTTTTTCCACTTCACATGCTAACGTGATAATTGCTAGACTGATGATTTTTCCAGTGACAAATCTGCCTTTGTCAATATTTAGACCTGTGTATAGAAAGCTTATCTAACACACCTGGCTAATTTTCACTTCATTTAAAAATAAATGGAAGATGTTTAGCTTGCCGGGTTAAAACAAAAAAAAAGAGGTTTCATAAATAATTTTCTCAAAACACCTTTATGATAATAAGATAATTGCTATAAAAAGTAATTTTCTTCATTAAATGTATTTGATCAGATTTAAAATCTTGGCAGAAGTATGTGTGAAGATCATCTTAAGGATTTTGAGGCTTTTTTTCTTGAGGAAAATTCTTTGGAAACTCAAAAAATCACTTGGAATATTCAGGGGAAACTGATTTGGATTTTGCAGCTTTGAAAGCCTATCCCAGAGTTTGATTTACTTGTTATTGTTTTGAGATGCTCCACTTGTAATCAATCCCCGGCATATCATGACTTCCACAAACTCAGAAGAATCTTGATCTTAATTTAGTGTCTTGGAAGATTAAAACTTATTCTAGAAAAACTCTCCTAGATAAGCTCAAGGTGAGCCATTCTCTCTAAGACTCCTGGGGAGTCACTTGAGAAGGCTACAAAAGAGCCTTTACTCACTTCATTGGTTCCTCACTGGGTGGACGACCCTTGTTTTACTTCATCTTGGGAAGCAAGAATTTCTGTTTCACATATGAATCCCTTTGGCAGCCACTGGTGCTACCCACCCTGCCCCACCACCCTCCAGGTCCTTGCAAGACTGATAGAGTGCCAAGAACTAGAAATGCTCATTTCAGAAAGCTGAGATGAATAGAGATCTTAAGTTGTTTTCTGATTGTTTTGTCATCATCATGTTTTTTGGGGTTTTGATGTTCCTCTCACTCCCTCTTCTTCCCTTTTCATGAAATGTAATTGCTGTTTAAAATGTTAGCCTGGCTTTCTTTTGAAAGTAGAACCACTCTGACAGTAACTGGGTTAACTGTATTGTTAAGTTTTTCTGGTTTCCAAAGGACGCCTCAAAAGTGTGGAAATAAAACTCTTTTTCTTTTCTTCTTCTTCTTCTTTTTTTTTTTTATGGCTAACAGCTTCCCAGGCTTCTAATTTGCTGTCCTGTTGCATTGGCGTTCATTATCTTTGTATTACAATTTAGTCATTCTGTTTGAGTTTCTATCCTTTCTCTTCTGAGTTTTTGCTGAAAACGGCAATAAAAGTAACACAGCTGAAGCTAGCAGGCAAACCAAAGACATAATGAGAACAGAGCTTTCATAGGAATTCCATTCTACATCACGGATTTCATTTGCAAATATTCAGAATGAAAAGCATACTTAAAGTATATTGAGTTCTTTCTCTCTCTTCTCTTTCCATCTAGAATCAATTATAAAATAAAGCACATCATTTTTATCTTCACTTGCCTGTAGAGGGAATCAGGTCATTTAGCCTCTGAAGATTTGGAGTAAAGGCTCAAGAAAACATTAAATATTATCATTTTTGTAGAGCCAAAGTGCAAGGTATGGCAACACCAATGTTTTAAGTTGTAGAATAAAGTAAGTTAAAACTGAGTGGCTAGCCTTTGCTAGTTATTCTGGAAAGTCAACTAAAAAAAATTGACCATTAATTGTAAACTCGCAAGCAGATGCAATAACTAACTAAGGTCAGCCCACAGAATGTAGACCATATAGAAAACTTTCACTTAACAATGAGGACACATTCCAAGAAATGCATCGTTAGGCAGTTTTGTCACTGTGGGAACATCATAGCATGCACACACACAAACATAGATGATAATAGCCTACTACATACCTAGACTATATGGGATAGCCTATTGCTCCTAGGCTTGCATATTACTCTACTTAATACTGTAGGCCATTGTAACATAATGATAAATATTTGTCTATCTAAGCATAGAAAATGTACAGTAAAAATATAGCATTATAATCTTATGGGACCATCAGGGTATATGTAATCTGTGATTGGATGAAACTTTGTTATGTGGCACACGACTATATCAAAGAAATAGTCTTAAAAGAGTGCCTATATTTTTTTCTGTCATCCCATCACAATGATACCAAATAATTAAAGATAATGTCCACTTTAAAGCAATAATTCTAACAACTCAGTGAACTTCATAGTCTTGCATTCTTTAATAGAAATAGAGATCTCAGCATTTATAATTAACAAGACTTGGTTTTCTATTCACTATTTTGGCAAAACAAGATTCACAATAAGGCTGTACACAAGTACTTCCTAGAATTTAGTTTTGATTGGAACATAATGGGTCAGACAATTAAAGGAGAATGAAAGTGAAATAAATATAAGCATTTCTAGAAATGGATAGTGAGTTAAAAGAATAGCATAATTTGAATGAATTCAATTATGTGTAAAATACAGTGTTTTTCATGCTCTTATCTGATATCATAGAGTATTTTTTCTTTAGAAACTATCAATCTCTTCCTATAGGCAGAACTGTGTGGGAAACCTAAATTATTATTACAAAGTCGCTTGGAGACAGGTAATCAAATAAATGGGATGAGGTTTTATTTAATATTTAATGGAAGCAGGAAGATAGCCTGAGCTATCCTTCTTAGGGAAGAATTGGTTTTATAAATGGAACCAGAATACTGGAGGTCCTTTGAGTATTGCTCCCTCTGTCCTAGAAGAAGCTTGGAAAAGTTATGTTTGGCTGCTTGATCCTTCTTTCTAGTTTTGCTTTGTTTTGCTTTCACCCATCCCACATATTCTTTGTTTAGGATGAGCTGCATAATTTAATCAACATGTAAGTGTAATGGCCATTTCGTTCCTTCAGTTCACTTTACACGTTTATATTTTGGTCCAGTTCATGCTCATCTTATAGTTTAACCCTCTGGTCCTTTAACTATGTATTTCAGTATTATCTTAGGACCTTTAAATGAAGATTCCTGGACCCCCAAGAGTTATACTTTTTTAGTGGATCAGGAGTGACTCCCAGGAGAGGACTTAGCTGCAGGAGACCCTGGGATAGATAACACTTTGAAAAACACTGCTAGAGAGTATTTTATTTATTTTATTTTTTGAGGCAGAGTCTCACTCTGTTGCCCAGGGTGGAGTGCAGTGGCATGATATTGGCTCACTGCAACCTCTGCCTCCCGAGTTCAAGCAATTCTTCTGCCTCAGCGACCCGAGTAGCTGGGATTACAGGAGCCCATCACCACACCTGGCTAATTTTTGAATTTTAATACAGACAGGGGTTTCACCATGTTGGCCAGGCTGGTCTTGAACTCCTGACCTCAAGTGATCCACCTGCCTCGGCCTCCCAGAGTGCTGGGATTACAGGAGTGAGCCCGTGCCCGGCCCTAGAGAGTATTTTAAATTAAATTTTTGACTATATAATATGTGGTTCAAAAATAATAATGCCATTCTCAAAGCTGCCTCATCTCTCACCCCTGTGGCCCACTGAGGTGCAGCCACCAAAATGGGATTAGATGTGTATGTCTGTAACCTGTGGAAGGAGAGAGAAGGAAATAGGATTGGATAGAAGTGTCAGACTGCAGCCTAGTTCCAAGAAAGGTCAGCTGGGCTAATAATGATGGGGAGTCTCTTATAAGAGAAGCTTCCTGGTTTGCTGGGATGGGTTTGTCTTAGTGCCCTAATCTTAGTGCTCCTACTTAGTCATTGTGTAGGAGCAGCCTGTGGGACGTTGGCCTTGGCACAAATATAGTGGTAGAGATCCAGAGGGATGGTGGCTGGGGCCATAAGCCAGTGATGCTCCCTGTAGTAGCATATCTGAATGACACAGTTCATGGCCATTATGCATTGTTAATAGTTTCTCATGAATCCCTTTAAAGTATCTTTTTGGGCTGGTTGCAGTGGCTCACGCCTGTAATTCCAGCACTTTGGGAGGCTGAGGTGGGCAGATCACGAGGTCAGGAGATCGAGACCATCCTGGCTAACACGGTGAAACCCCGTCTCTACTAAAAATACAAAGTATCTTTTTGTATATAAAAAACAAATGTAAGGAAATTCTCTGTTTTTCTTCTTTTTTCACAAAATTGGGAACATTCCACTTGCCTTTTTCATCCAAATCTCAGAGACCTTTCTATATTAATACTTGCAAAACTTCCTCATTCTTTTACAGTTCACTAGTGTTCTATTGTTTGGCTATACCATGATCTTTATTTTTTTGAACAGTCTTTACTGATGAGCATTTAAGTTGTTTCTATTCTAAAAATGCTGTTGTTTCAAAACTTTTCCAGACACTATTTTGCATATATGTAAATATATCTGTAGGATAGATTGATAGATTCCAGAAAAGAACTGCTGGGTCAAAGGATACATACAGGTAATTGTGACAGGTGTTGTCAAATTACTCTCCATAGAACATGAAACCTATACAAAGGGGTTATACCTAGTTATATTCCTGATGTATAAAAGTGCCTTTTGTTCACATAGCCAATTGACTGTTATCAAATGTCTGGATTTTTGCCAATATAATAAGTGAAAAGTGATATTCAGCATAGTTTTGTTTTGCATTTATCTTTTTATAAAGAGTTGATTTGAATATAGATATTTGAGGCATTTTATTTTTCTTTTCTGTGAACAGGCTGTTCTTATACTGGGCTTATTTTTCTATTGAGTTATTTTTTTCTTATTGATTTACGGGAGTTTAAAAAATATGAGGGAGATTACCCATTTATCTATGATAATGAGGTGAAACTTCCAAGTTTCTTGCTTGTCTTTCTACCTGTGCGTGGTATTTGACATGTGGGAGGAATACACACACACACACACACACACACACACACACACACACACACAGAGTACGCATATACTTTAAAAACATTTCATGTACTTAAATTTGCCAAGTATTTTGGGGAGGAGCTTCTGGATTTTGAGTCATACTTATCAAAGCCTTTGCTATTCCAAGGACATAAAGGGATTCTCCTAGGTTTTCTTCTAGTATATTGATATGATTTGATTTTGTCTCCACCCAAATCTCATCTTGAATTGTAGTTTCCATAATCCCCAAGTGTTGTGGGAGGGAACCGGTGGGAGGTAATTGAATCATGGGAGTGGTTGCCCTCACGCTTTTCTCGTGATAGTGAGTGAGTTCTCACGAGCTCTGATGGTTTTATAAGGGGCCTTTTTCCCTTTTGCTCAGCACTTTTCTCTTGTGCTGCCATGTGAAGAAGGATGTGTTTGCCTCCACTTCTGCCATGATTGTAAGTTCCGTGAGGCCTCCCCAGCCCTGCAGAACTGTGAGTCAATTGAACCTCTTGCCTTTATAAATTATCCAGTCTCAGGTATTTCTTCATAGCAGCGTGAGAATGGACTAATACATACATTATATATATATATATGATTTAATCTTTTACAGTGAAATCTTGAATCTATTTGGTTTAAAGCGTAAGGTAAGAATCCAGCATAATTTTTCCCCAAGAATTTACTCCAGCTCCATTCATTCAATGGGCCATCTTTTACCCACAGTGTTGAGGTGCCATTTTTGCTATATTTTAACTTATGCTAAATTCCCTTATGTATCTGGATCTATTTCTATTAGTCCCATTGGCATATCTGTTCATGTGTTGGTATCATATCTTCTAATTTGAGGCTTTTAAATATGTTTTAATATTTGGTATGACTAATCTTCCCTCAGCTCTTCTCTTTCATTGGTTTCCTGACTATTATTCTTTATTTTTTCCAAATACACTTTAGAATTGTTTCAAAAATCAAACAAACAAAAATAAAAAACTTGATTGGGGCTTTGTTAGGATTCTAATAAATTTATGAACTAACTTACAAAGAATGATGACTTTAGCACATTGAATCTTTGTGTTAATGAACACGACATAGTCGAGTTTTATGTTCTGAGAATCTTCTTTCATTTTTAAAATATTGAGATATTTCACTATAGTTCCCAAGTACTAAAAATATTAACTGCTCATTGAATATGTTAAAATATAATTTTCAAAGAGGGTAAATCATGACTCTTATGAATATGTAGAATAAACAGATGTCAAAGATTTTATTTATCTCATAAGTAATGAGGGAACCAGTAAGATGTTATTTTAGTCCAAAGAGCTTTGAGAAGATAGGTGCCTATAAGAAATTTAATGGATTTCTGGGTTGGATACAGAATTAGTTAATGTCCAACAGCACTGTAAGTCTTTGTGGTCATTTGTTCTACTGGACGGAAATGATTTGTACATTTATTAAACAAAACACTATACCTTAACCTTTGCCCCTACAGAACTGGAAAATAATCCAGGCAATAACATTAAGCACAACCTTGCACTGAAATAATACCCATTTCTTTTTCCAGTTTCCAAGTTTCAGAAATTATTTTTTCTAGCAAGCATATCATTAAATAAAATTGTTAGCATTTTCAAATTTAAAACTTTATTTGATTGGATTTCTTCTTATTATGTATTATTATTATTTTGTGGTGACCATAGGTGGTTCCTTCTCTTTGATGATTTGTTTTTCTTATAATGAAACCCTAGTGATATTTCTTGGACAAAGAAATCTCTAAGAAGGCATTGCATTAATTTAACAGATATTTACTGCGTGTTGAGCACTGTTCTAGGTTCTTAGGATACAGCAGTGAACAAAACAGAGAAAGCTCTCTGTCTTCATGGACCTTGCAGTCTGCCTGGGTGAGCTGGACAATAAACAATAAATGTAATAATAAAGTGTATAATGGGTAGGAGGTGATAAAAGAGAAAACAGAGGAGTAAAGAACAGCAGGAATGTAGGAAGAGGTGTTGTGAGTTGCAATTTCAAGCAGGGTGGTTAGGGTAGGCCTCACTGAGACAGTGACTCTTGAGCAAAGGCTTGTAGGAGATGAGGGAGTCAGCCACATAGGGATCTAAGGTGAGAGAATTTTTGGCAAAAGTCACAGCAGGGCCAATGCCCTAATGAAGGAACTTGCCAGGCCTGATAAAAGAACAGCAAAGAGACCAATATGACCGGAATGGAGTGAGGCAGAGAGGAGGTTCAAGGTCTTATCATGCAGAGTCTTGAAGACCATAACGGAATTTTGTATTTTATTCAGAGTGAGATGAGAAGCAGATGAGTGATATAATATGACATATTTGAAAGGATTCCTTTGGCTGTTGTGGTGAAAATAGAAAGGGCAGTCAAAACTGGAAACAGGAAAGCCTATTGAAATAATTCAAGAATGGGATTTTCGTGACTTGGACCAGGGTAGTAACAGTAGAGAAGGGAAGAAAAGGTTGGATTTTGCATATGTTGTGAAGGTAAAACCAATATGATTTGCTAGTGGATTTGATGTGGTATGTGAAAAAAGGAGTAAAAACTCACAGATTTTTGGTTTGAGCCACTGGGAGGTTGGAACTACCATTGACTGGAATGGGGAATGCTATGGGTAGGACAGATTTGATGGAATAAAATCAGGAAGCTCAGTTTTGAAGCCGTTGACCTTGAGATAACTAATAGATGTTCAAGTGGGGATATCAAGCAGACAATTGGATACATGAGTCCTAAGTTCAGGATTGAAGGCTGTGTTGAAGATGTAAATTTGACAGTCATTGAATCACAGCTGGGATTTAAAGCCAAGACTGGATGAAAACCTGTAGATGTAGTTATTGAGCCTTGGGACCCTCTAACATTAAAGAGGTCATTTCTTGATATGACCAAGCAACCTGTGTTTGATTAGTATCAACTGAGTCTTGATCCATATCAATAGCAAAACATAGCAGAGATTTTTATACCATTCATTATTGCCTAAAGGTTAAGCCAAGTATATGTTCAATGAAATCCTTCTGTAATTTCAATAAGTAAAATTGCAAGTACATGATAAAAATTCTTTGAAAATAGTATTTGATAATAGCTAAAGAAAAGAACATCTCATATAGAAACACATGTTCTGTGCTTAGCTTCATTTCACATCATACTAAACATTTTAGGTTCATCAGAGAAATATATTAGATGTGTATTATATACCTTGACCTTTAGAACTCTTTGTCCAAATGTTACACAGGTTCATAGATGCAATTACAGCATTATACTGTCTCTGATATTTGATAGGTTTTGCAAAAAGAGCTGGTAGTTAACAAAACCTTAATTACTTGTACCCTATAATTATACTGAAGGCATGGACTGTCTTTTTTGTGGGGAGCAGGAGGGAAGTGTGTGTGATCTATATACAGCTCCCTGATTTGGTCATGTTGTGCATGTTTGAAGGAGAGCCCAGCATATTCTGGAGAAAGCAGGCAGGCCTTGAAAACAGCTTAACAATTAAACTTTTTCTTCTTCTAAAAGTTCTCTGAAGCCCATCAATACTTGGCATAGCAGCTTCAAAGACCCCTCTGCTCTCCTATGGATTGGTTTAGGGTTTCCACACCATGGTTTTACTCATTCCTTCTGCTTAGGAACATTCATTTAAAGATTTAAAATTAGCTGCTTCTACTATCAACTGAAGACTTTATATACAAGTAACTTTATCATGCAGATCATAGCAACATGAGAAAGGCAAACCATAGAGATAGAAATGGAATGGAAGGCATTTTCATTCATAAAATCCCTTTGGAGTCATGATTAAAAATTTTATCCTATTAAAATTCAGACCAAAGACAGTAGTCAACTACTGCCCAGCCACATGCGTTCCAAGCAGATACTGAATAAATGTTAGAGCTAAATTCCTCATTGGTTTGAAGATTATAAGCTTAATTTCTATGGTTACTTTTGCCTTTACCTTGTCTTATGAACTGAATTGTGTCATCCCCAAATTCATATAAGGAAACCCTAACCCACAGTGTGACTGTATTTAGAGATAGGGCCTAGAAGGAAGTAATAAAGGTTGAATGAGGTCACAAAGGTGGGGGGCTACTTCAATAGGATTAGTGTGATTAGAAGAAGAATAGACACCAGAGAGGTCTCTCTCTTTACAGAGAAGAGGTCATGCAATGACACAGTGAGCAGGCAGTCACCTACAAGCCAGGAAGAGAGGCCTCACCAGAAACCAACTCTGGTGGCACCTTGATCTTGGACTTCTAGCTTCTAGAACTGTGAGAAAAACAAAACAAAACAAAACAAAACAAAAAAAACAAAAAACAAAAAACTCTGTTTCTTAAACCACGCAGTCTGTGTTATCTTATTATGGTGGCCCAACCAGGCAAATACACCTGCTTTATTTTTCTTTGCAACACTTACTACCACATGACCTGGGAGTTTATACATATATATGCCATGTAAGTTGGGACTTTTTGGTTTGTTGCTATTGCCTTGCAGGTAGTAGGCATGCAATGAATATTTGTTGAATAAACAAATTATATGGGCTTGCCTAGGGAGAGAGATAATAAACAAAGAAAACACCACATTTCTTGGGGTGTGGTGTCTCTGACCCACATAATTACATTTACCATACAATTGATGTAGCTATTTCATCTCCTTTCCTGTCCTTTTATAATCTCATCTTCCTCATCAGATTGTGCGGTCTTTGAGGGATAATACCTATCTTTATTTGGGGTCTCCCAGAAGTAGATCCTGAGACAAAGATTCCAGATGCAGGGAGTATCTGTAGAGGAATAGGGAGGTGATTAAAGGAAGGAAAGGGAGCCAATAAAAATGGTGGTAATAAGCCAGCTACCGCCATGGGCAACTGGAGCTAAATCCTGTGGTGACACTCTGGGAAAGGATAAAAGTCAAATGTGCAAATGATCTTTCCTAATGGGTGAGGGAGCTGGGGCAGTTATTCACTGACTCCTGAGAGAGTCATTGTCCTGTTACTATAGGCAACAGGGTCTGCCACAGCTCCAGAAAGTTGCCAGGTACAGAGGTACTGACCCTGGCAGCTGTAAACCTGCTGCTAAAATGCAAGCATCCCAGGAACATGGGTGGGGCTTAAGATGTCTGCTGTAGCACTCATCCATCTGTCTGCATAACTTAGCAGCACCCAAAAGTTTATTGACACAATATGAAGTATCAGGTCTTTCCTGCTGGTGGGGCTCAGAAAACAATACCCCAAACTAAGGGTCTCAGAAGCAATTTCAGAAGCAGAAGTTTTTCTTGGACCTTCTGCTCCTGCCTGCCTGTCTCTCAGTCCTATTCTTCCCTAAGGCTAGCTATAGAAACTAGAATCCCTCTTCCCCAATGCAGGCATGGAAACCAGAACCCCTTTTTCCCAAAGCCAGTCATAAAACCTGAAAATATTACTCTAACTTTTCCTCTGCCTTTCTGTGTAAAAACTGGCCATAAATAAATTATCTGACCTACCTCCTTTGACTGTAGGTGATAAGACCCTCGCTCTAGAGAGGGTCCTGCCCCACACCCAGAAGGAAGGAATGCTGCTCAGAGAGGCCAGGACGAATCCGAACACACAGGCTTTGCTGTGTTTTCCCTCTCAGCCTATTAGCTTTAGATCATACCCCTTTTGTCCAGTCATATTTCTACATGGCTGTCTATATTTTGTTGAATTTAACTGTAAAAATGGATGATTTCCCCTGTATCTTTGGGTCTTCATTCTGAAGTTTCCTGTGTATACACATTAAATAAATCTGTATGCCTTTTTTTCCTATTAATTTGTCTTTTCTTCTGAGATGGAGTCTCGCTCTGTCACCCAGGCTGGAGTGCAGTGGCATGATCTGGGCTCACTGCAACCTTCGCGTCCTGGGTTCAAGCGATTCTCTCGCCTCAGCCTCCTGAGTAGCGGGAACTACAGGTACGTGGCACCATGCTTGGCTAATTTTTTGTATTTTTAGTAGAGATGGGGTTTCACTGTGTTAGGCAGGATGGTCTCGATCTCCTGACCTTGTGGTCCGCCTGCCTCGGCCTCCCAAAGTGCTAGGATTACAGGCGTGAGCCACCGCGCCCTGCCTAATTTGTCTTTTTGAGTTGATTTTTCAGCGATGCTTCAGAGGGCAAAGGGGCAATTTTCCCTTGGCCCCTACACTGGAGCTTTAGCATTAAAAAGCGATGAAAACAGACTTAAGAAATGCACAAAACCACTTCATCTTATATTTTTATCCACACTTGGAAAATGTATTCCAGTTATCTACAAATATCCATGAGATAGATGGGGTGTGCTGATGTCCAAGTTAATGGTGATGGGATCAAACTTCTGGGCCGCGTGGCCTTGGTTTGACCTCCCGTTTAGGTATTGATGTTTTCTCTTAAGCTCAGTTCTGGCATTATTTCAACCCTGGATGTTATTCAGTATGAGGTTTTACAAAAAACTCCACCTCCTTTTATTTATTTTTTCTTGGCTGAAGCTTTTAAAAAATGTTAATCTATACATCCTCCTCCACAATTACATTTGCCAGAGGAGTAGGAGCCAAACAATTAAATTCCCCATAGGTGCTGGGTGTAATAATTTCTCATGAATCAGAAGATTAAGCATGGCAACAACAAATGGAACAAGATGGTCTAAGCTCTGTTTTTCCTACAGAACAGCAAATAGTTGCAAATCAAAAGGCAGTTCTCCTTCATTACCACCGTATGAGGCAGTAGGCTAAAAGCAGGCTCATTTGGTAATGTTTTCTGTGTGGCTACGGTATGTACACACAGTGCAGGCCTTTATGCACTGTCTAATAGACAATATTATATACTAGGGCATTGCCGACATTCATTTTATGTGGAGATACAACTGGTATGCCCAGGACACTGGCCTCCAAGCTGTGTGTGCACTGAACTAAAGGAACAGTTTTGCTTGCTCAAGCCGGGCAAAGCTATTTATACTTAAACACATTCTTCACTGCTTATAACATGCTGTACTAGGTGACAGTCCGTGAGCAGGACAGGCTGCAATCATGGGCTGTGATCTCAGGGAGTCCTGCAAGCTGTAGCTTGTGGTGAGCTTCACCAAGTTGACACATTTTCTCTCTCTCTTTACCCTAGAATCAGCTACCCTGCTGATCTGGAGGCCTTTGGGGACATGAACTCTTGTAGCAGGAATCAAAGAACTGGTGTAAGAAAACGAATAGCAGAGCCATAGTGTTTTATCCCCTCTCTGCACTCCCCAAATTAGACTGCTTGTTTATTGAAATTGGTCAAACAGTTTAATTAGCATTCCATGTTTGTTATTTCTTTAATCGAGGTTTCAAACAGAACAAGGCAACAAGCCAGGCCAGTAATGAGTCTCCTCCACCTACTCTTAAGTTAAATACTTGCTGAGATTCCCATTGGTTTCCCAGAGACATCTCATCACTGATGTACTTTCACTTATCAACAGGGTTATTGAGCACTGTTCATAAATGCGTACTAATTGGCAGTAGGCGATGTATATATTTATGTAAATTTACAGTTATATATAGGTACCCATAAAACCTGTGTTTTTTTAAGTGAGAGAAATTAAGTATTTTTCTGATGGAATTTGAGAAATTATGAGGGCCCTCTATGAGGAAAAATGATTCACAAGATATACTGACTCATGTCTGAAAACCCACAAATTAACCTTCGTCCTTTTGTAAAGTTCACATGAGATGTAAGAAATTTTTTTAATTAATAAAAATTCTCCAAAAAAGGGCTTAAATGTTTAATTACTTGGGTTCCTATAACAAGTTGAGGTATTTTTAAAAGAAATGTCAAAGGTCAGGCAAATGGCTTTCACCATTTTGTTTCATCCAATATACTGCCCTGCTTTTAGCTGCAAATGTAGATGACTTAGGCAGTTTTAAAGAAATTATGCAAATCCTAATTGCAAACAGTTTTCCTTTTAGCTTTTCTACATTTAGACTAACTGTAGTAATTATTTGAAAACCTTTTCAAATCTTACACTTAATAAAAGGAAATTTTATGCAAACAATGAAAGAGAATTTCAAAGCAGTAAGTGAGGGTGATGCTGGTTTGCCTTCAGGGGCTAGTTAAGCTAGAGGAGTTTATTTCTGATCTCCATACTTTCAGTATCATGATCTACCGAGGTCTTGGCAGCCAGCTCTACAGAGAATAGCAAAGGGAGCGAAGACTAGCTCCCACTAACATATATGAGGTACAGGTGTGAAGGAGGATGGGTCACATTCCACTGAGAGGCTTATCTGGCCATTTCCCCAGCTTTGTAGGTGTGCTAGGCAAAATAGAATAGTGGCTAAGAAGGATTACAGAAACTGGAGTCAGACTTGCATCCAGATCCCAGGTCTGCACTTTGCTGCTGTGTGACCTCACCTCTCTAAACCTCAGTTTCCTCATCTGTATAATGTGGGTAACATTAATACCTGCCTCATATGATTGGAGGATTTAGTGTGTTAATACATATGAAGGGAAGCACTTATAACAGTCCCTGGCATAAAGCAAGGGCTATGCACCCATTGTTATTACAAGGGCTATTACTTTTAAAATGTGAACTAGGCCAAGTGCAGTGGCTCCCACCTGTGAGCCGATGTGGGAGGCTTTGGGAAGTAGAAGCAGGAGGATTGCTTGAGGCCAGGCCAGGAGTTCAAGACCAGCGTGGGCAACATAGCAAGACCTTGTCTCTACAAATACATTTAAAAAAGTTAGAGGGGCAGTAATGTGTGGCTTCAGAGCCAGGTTGTTCTGGGTATAGTGACAGGCTCCCCATCATGGGCTGTGTGACTTTGGGACAAATTACTTAAACTCTGTAAGCCTCTATTTTCTTCATCTGTAAAATGAAGATAATAATAAAATTCACTTCACAACTTCTTATGAGGCCTCAATCATCCTGTGAGGATTAAATGAGATTAAGCATGTGGAAAGTATTTGGCATTAGCATCTGACACACAGTACCTGGTAATGGAGAATAGGGTCTGTCAACCTCATCACTAGGAACATTTTGGGTCAGATAATTCATTGTTTGGGGGCTATTATAGTCCTGTGCACTATAGGATGTTCAGTAACATCCCTGTCCTCAATCCACTAGATGCCAGTAGCATCCCTCCTCCTCCCCACCGCCACCCCAGCTGTCACAACCAAACATATCTCCAGGCATTGCCAAGTGTCTCCTAGGAGTAGGGGAAATTTGTCCTTGGTTGAGAATGAACACTATAATAAGGGTAAGGCTGAGGGAGAGGAAGTTTACTGGGAAACAGGGCCAGCCACGTGTGATTTTCCTCTTTGATGAAGCTAGCCTGTTGTCAATGGGAAGATGAAAGGGAAAGGATAAATTCAGAGGAAGTAACTATTGTGTCCAGTTCCTCCTAAATCCTGGGGGTGGGGCGGGGGCTCTTTAGAGGTCTGTAGTTACAGAGTCTAGGGATTCTTCAGGTGCTTCAGAGCTCTATGTCTTTCACTAGCTTTCCTCCCAATTGATGGGAGCCTCCTGAGCCCCGCTCCCTTTGTCTCAGAGAGCATCCCTTGTTAGAGGAAGGCCTGTGAAATAAGACCTGTATCTTTTGTTTCAATTAACAAAGCACATTGCAGGAGTGAAATTGCTAGCCTCAGTCTTAAATCTTGGAAGCAGGTAAGGAAATCAGGGCTATGTCTTACATTTCAGCCTGTTTTTATTTGGTCTTGCTTCCTCTTATTAATGGGCCTTTCTGGTTATTCCAACTGAAACGAAGATAAAATGATTTAAGGATTAGAATGGCAGGAAACAGAGTAAAATGGTTTTGCCATATATTCAACAAATATTAATCAGGAGTTTATCATAGGCCAGGCACTCTTCAGAAGGTTTGGGATATATTTGGGGACAAAACAGGTAAAAATACCCCCGTCCTTCATAAAAATTAGCTAATCAAATGTTTGGAGTAGTAATAGCCCTATTGAACAAGGATGTGCATATGGGCTAAGATTGATCTCAAACCCTATTGACTCCAATTTCCTCTTTCACATCCATTCTGCTACCAATTTTCCTTCTCCTCCAGACTTCCTGCCTTTAATTTGCTGTACTATGGAACAGAAATGCAATAGGTGAGCTGAATATAGCTTTTTGAATGTAACTCTTCTTTCTGTCAGTTGCAGGCTTGAAAGATGAAAAAGAGCCATCCTATCTTGATCAAAACAGATGTTTGCTCCCAGGTTAAAAGCCTGGTCTTTATGCCATAGGCTCCAGGGTGCTTGAAATCTCTATGATTCTCACAATCACAGTTTTGGGGATGACAAATACTAGTGAACCCTCCCCCTTTCCCACCTTTGTTGCACAGCACATATAGGTGAGCCACCCCTTGGACTGTTTTCTGCCCAAACTTTCTCTGCTACAGTGTCTCTGTGGCCACATAAAAAAGTTTTGACAGAACAAAATGCAACTCCAGTTAACAGGCCAAACTCTGAGGCTAGGATTCTAGATATGTTGGCACATTAGTCTCCAAGGAATAGCACATAGTCTTGTGGAGAATGCACCATTATTTTGGATCAAAAGGTTGTCTACTTCTCTGTGAGCTAGATATTGAATATAAGTGGGAGCTAGATTGAAAAAGAAAAAGATGATTATGAGACAGAACTTAGTGCCATCACTAGACCTCCTGTTTGTAGGAACAGTTCCTGGGGATCCATCATCAGTGTGCCAAGCAGTTATGGGTTGCATTTCAAAAGAAACTTAAGGCAGGAGACATACTTGGACCCCAAGTTTAGGGGTGGAAAGAAACGAGAGACTAACAGGTGTTTGATTTTGTGTTGCTTTCCAGCTTCTTGGCTGTTTACTTTGCATTTATTTTATGACAATATTTACCTACCATAATGTGTAACCTACTATGGAGAGAAGTTTTCCTATTTAAACTCATATAGAACACTGAATTAAAAGGTACTAATGAAATTTTTCATTCCATATTGCCCCTGCCATACAAAGCACAGTTTCTACCATCAAAAGGGTTATTAGCTGGCTTGGAAAGATTTGAAAATCATACTGAGACACAGATTTATAGTTCTGTAAGTCAGTTTGAAAATATTATGTGGTCTTCGCATGTTCTCACTCATAGGTGGGAATTGAACAATGAGAACACTTGGACACAGGGTGGGGAACATCCCACACCGGGGCCTGTCGTGGGGTGCGGGGAGCAGGGAGGGATAGCATTAGGAGATATACCTAATGTAAATGATGAGTTAATGGGTGCAGCAAACCAACATGGCACATGTATACATATGTAGCAAACCTGCACGTTGTGCACATGTACCCTAGAACTTAAAGTATAAAAAAAATTCATCATCTAAAAAAAAATTACGTGGTCTTGCAGTCTTAGCATCTAGTAATTGACCACATATGGCCATTCAAGCAGTCATTGAACTTGGTCCACAAATGTGCAATACTTGGGATTATTTCCTGCAAACTTAATTAAGGGAAAGCAAGTTTAGACAGTCTGTAGAGGAGGAAAATGTGTATCTTCTGAGCCTTTTTTGTTCTGTGACTCATCTAATATTTCTTCTCCTGAATCTTTAAGAAGTCAGGCTTTACTTAGCTCCTTGCAGCAAAGCCAAGTGGTCTAGGTAAAGCTTATACAAGATGATAGGCCGTGGTGAGTAGAGAGGGTATAAAGGGTTGTGCTCCCTTTGGGGAAGGGGCAAGTCACATTTTCAAGCGAAACAGAAATTTGCTGCAGTAATTACCCTTTATCATTAATGACAGGCAATTGCCATAGCAACTGGCTGCCACCTGTCTCTCACATACCAGCTCTGCATGCCCTGAAACAAAATAGGAGCACGCTGCCTAGTCAGTTGTGGAGCCACAAGTCTGAAGTTGGGATGGAACTCTGTATCGATATTAAGATTCAGCTAGTGCCATGCATGGTTCTTTGTGTTCGTGGAATAGTAAATAACAGCGCAATGTAAGAAAAATGATTTTTAAAAAGAAAACAAAAGAACAGTGACCCAGGATAGTGTAATGGTTAAAAGTACAGCTCTGAGTCAGAAGAAAGCAGAGTTTGAACCCTAGCTTCTCCGCTTACTGGCTGAGTGACCCTGGACAAATGGCTTAACCTCCCTAAGCATCATGAGGTCAAACTCATAGGCCGTTGAAAGGATTAAGCTGGATAATGTTTGTTAAGCACTTAGCCCAAAGTGAGCACTCCATCAGTGGTAGCCGAAAATGTCCACTGCCTGGCAGCAAGGTGCACTGGGCACATGGCAAGGGCACGATACATAGTTCTTGTTGACTTAGTGAATTAGATCACTAGTAACCATTACTCAGGGAATTCAGGTCTCCAGGTTGCATGCTGTACAAGCTCTCTCTCTTCTTCACTTTTTATGTATGTAGGTGCACAGAGGCATATAGAGACAGCCTTTGAGTGATGTAATTTTGATTTTCTCCACATTTTAGAAATGTGTTCTCAATACCAAAGAGTTCAGCAGGTCATTTACTCTTTCTAATGACACTCTATATAGACAAAGCTCAGTGACAGCTGAAATTAGTTTTTCTTTTGAATCTCCTTGATTATGTCTCCAACCTCTTTAGCACTCTTCTTACCCCCTGAGTCTTGGCACTGTGCTAAGGCCAATTAGAGACGTTAACCACTCGGTGCCTACAGTAGAGGCATTTTTTTTTTTTCTCATCAGGGTGGTGAGACCATGCCAGATTTTCTTTTTCTTTGACCTCTATGCCAAAGAAAATGCTTAGTAACTAGGACTGGTGTTATAAGTTGTTCACACCCCTTTCCCTAATATTTATCATATGATGGTAAAATAAATTAGGATTTGTCCAATCCTAAACTGTATTGCAGCACATAATCTAAAAATCATAAACATTTAGCTAATAATTGTCTGAATGCTATTCTAGACATCAATCCCCTATACCAGAACTAGGGTCATCCTTGGTACCTCCTCCATCATCCAGCATATTTGAATTGTGCGATTGTCCCCTCTTAAACAGCCTTCTGCTCTCTGGTCTTCTGTTTGAATTCATTGCTTTTTCTTAGTCCAGGCCTTACTGTCTCCCCCCTGAATTGCTACAACAGCCCACTGGCTGGTCTTTTCCTCTGCTGTTCATTTTCCACACTTCAGTCAGCATGATTTTATAAAATGCTAATGTAATCATGTTACTAAAAAAGAAGTTTTAGTGGGTTTTCATAACCTCCATGATAAAGATCTTCAGCCATCTGCTTCTGCTCACCTTTCTAGTCACATCTTCTGAAGTGATGACTTTTCTCCAGGGATACCAGCCTACACCAGGCCATTCCATGCTTCTTGTTTTCGTCTAGGCTTTCTTCTATGTGAAACACCCTTCATTCTTACTCACTTTTCCAAGTCCTACACAGGCATTATCTTCTGTTTGAAGATTTTCCATTTACCTATTCTCTAAATACCTCCCTCCTTTGTTACAGTTCACAGGCTGATCATAATTCCATTGTCTTAAACAATATTTAAATCTTCCCTATCAGACTACTCGTGTCTTACGGTAAGGTCTGGGTCTCACTCATTTACGATACCCTTAGTGTCTGATAATATAGTAAGTCCTTAAAATTTTGTAGATGTAAAACACATTTTTAACATTTCTATAAATAACATGGTCTTTTTGTGTATTGTGCTAATAAAAGAACTTTATTGGAACCATGTTTTTCTATCATTCATGGATTGCCATACAGGATTCACAGAATTGTTGGCTTGCTGCATCCTACTTTGAAAAATAAGTGATGATATAGTTCTCTGCCTCTCATAACTAAGATTATTTTTCATACCTGATAAATACAAAAACTGCTCACATAATGTTAAAAAAATTAGGATATAAAATTATATATTTATAATAACCAAACTTAGTAAAAAAAACAACACCAACAAGAATATATTATGAAGCTTAGAAGAAAAGACATACAATATCACTGGTGTTTACTTGCGGGTGGAAGGATTATGGATAATTTTATTTTCTTGTATGTTTTTGCGTATTCCAAATTCTTTACAAAGACCGTGTATTTTATAATTAGAACAGATTTGTTCACAGTAATTGGGGTGGATTTTATTTTTCTTCAGAAGGCTTAGCTAAATTCGCTCACTCTTGTTACTTAGCAAAGAAGGTAGGGAATTGATGATTTAGCCATCTTCTAAACACTTTCCCTTTGCTATAGGATTTAAAGTTAACTCAGGAAGGTAGGCTGAAGTCGCTATTTCCACTAGATGTCACCAAACTACTGGCAATAGTAGCTCAAACGCTCTGTGCATATTCAGTTTTTAGAAACATTTAAACCCCATTATTCAGTATTCCTCGTTATCACACAAAGCATTTAAAATTTGAAGAATTAGTAAGAAAATGCATATTACATAAGGTTCTGGCCCTTTATATAACAAGTGAAGGCTTATATGGATCTTTTGACTTTATGTAATCCATATTTTATTAGCTTCTTAATATAAATGTGAGGAGAAAATTAATATCAGGGGCCCTGTTTAAAATGCTTAAAAATTATTTCCAGATGATTTTCAGCTCTCCTTTTATATAATACGTGGAGTAAAAAAAGGACAGAATCCTGCAACTCCTTTCTGAACAATATTTTTTAGCCTAATATAGCTTTCATCATTGAATGTCTTTTAGTCATGGTTAATGAATAAAAATCTCTTATAGTATTGGGATGATTTTTAGGACATTTTAATTTATTACGGTAAAGCTGTTTATAGTTCATTTTATATGTCAGAAAACAAAGGAAATAACTTTTCCTTGAGGATGAAATAGATTTCTTTTCTCTAATCTAACAAAGGGCAGCTAAGAGAGCCATGTTTCTTTAAATGTATGAACCTGTTTACTGTGTAGATTAAAAATCGGTCTTTTTTTTTCTGATTGGCTCAGTTAATAACTAGAGTGAGGGGTTAGAGGAAGCTTGTTTCCAGTCATTTTGGCATACCAGTGAAAATGATTGGCCAGTCAAAAGACATTTAAATTAGGCAGTGGGCTCTTGGAAATAAACCTTTGTACTATATTCTACATTATTGCTCTCTACTGTGGTGTTTGGTTTTTTAAGATGTGTGGTACTATTTTTCTTAAACTTCACACGGGACAAGCCATAACACAACAGTTTGTAAACAAAAATCTGACTAAATTTTTTAGATTGTTTCTTTTTCTAAAATGTTTTTTTTCAATTGCTGCCCTTTCAAAATAGCAGAGGCTATTAAATAATTCCTGTTCACAGGATTTATGACTAAAATGCCTAATTTTAAATTTCTTCTGTCCTTTTAGATGGCTGTTATAACATATTCTCAGTGTAAAAACTCAAAAATAATAGAGAGCATTACAGATGACAACCATGGGTTTACTTGTGATAAAATAGTCACTCTTCGTTCAGAAACAATGAAGACCAAACCAAATCAGCAAGCTCCCATCAGCATCCACATATCTTAGGTAATTTCTGCAACATTTTTAAACAGAGGAAGATAAATGACATTGATCATCACATTTCAAATGTTATCAACCCAAAACAAATCAATCTGCATTGCATCAGGTATCTTAACTTCCATGAACTAGAGAATATTAGGGTTGCCATTATAAATCTCATCTTACTTTGCTTGGTGAAAAAACCATGAATTATAAGCACTATATAGATACCATGGAAGGCAGAATAGCTTCAGTATTATGGGATTCTAGCTTCTGCAAGTATTCATCAGTTACAACCTGAAATTTCTGTGGTTTGTGTCCTAAACACTGTTTTGCTTGTACAATTCCATCATATAAAGAAATCATATCTGTGTTAGATCCTCTTGCAATATTTTAGTATGTAATTGCAATTGAGTTCTGCTGCCCCAAGCATCTCCTTCAAATTTCTTTACCTGAATCTTTCATATGAAATATTCATCTGAGTCACTCTGATATGGTGACAAGCCTCTATTGTGAAGTGGAAAAGCCATTTTTGGATGTTCCTTTCCAGATATCCGGATTTGCTTCTTGATAGTACTTGAAAGATGAATAGCCTCCATCAGCTACATACAAGGCCTGATCAGTTCACCCCCTCGACATGTTTTAAAGTGTTATTATTCAATGCCTTCCTTTTCTGTGGCCACGAAAACTCCTCTATTTTAACTCCAAAGCATAGTGCATTTGTCCCAATTATGTTATTTTTGTATTCACCATCTCTTTGCTGCAAATGATTATTGCAACTGTAGGTGGAGACAGGATTTTTACTAGTCGGCTGTCATCCATGAAATTACTTAGGCCCCTCAGAGTCTAAAACTGCAGCTTCACATCTTTTGAAATAAAAGTTCGTTTTAAGGTGGGTTAATTTCTTTAAAGTTATCTGTGGTAATTTGCTGCAGTTGTTTAACTTCCTGAGTTTTAATGAATGCTCCAGGGCAAACTTGATGTGAGGGGTTAGTTTTTAGAAATAAAAGGTATTATTATCCACTCAATTTGGTAAAAAAAGAAGTCCGGCACTAAATTTTATATTATGGTTTGCTTTGGGAATCAGCCATGAAAATTTGCTCAGCTCATTGCTAAAGGATATTGAAACACAGTTCTCGCCGACATGGTGTCATCTGTAGTGTGGACAGAGCCTTCACGCTGACAAATACTGCATGAATGCCTGTTGGAGCCAGTAGGCACTCCTGATGATTAACTATAAAAATGCTTTTGACTCTGGTTGCTGACAGGAATGACAATGCTTTGGCCAGACTGGCCTCCTTCTGGACACCAAAGGATGTTCCAGTCTTGGTTTTACCATCTGGTTTCAATACAAGCCAGGAGCAATGAATAGATGTCTTAAAGAGGCAGCAATATACGAATTATTCTGGCTGTATAATCTTTCTTTGATAAGTGAAAAAAGTGTACTTAGGCCTGGAGAACAACACAATGGCTTCTGAAATTCTAATTTTTAGGATAGATAAAGGTGTTTTGAGCATCTCATAAGGCAAGGGGATCTGATGGTATGAGTCCCAAATAAACCTTATGTGGAAACGACAGTTAAATGCATGAGCTTGTATTATGGCGTCGGTTTAGTGTCTGAAGGAAGACCAAGCATGCATTTTATAGGAAACACGTCCTTCTAAGCAAATCTAAATCTATCTAGTCAGGGTACAAGAATTCTTAGCCTTGTAAATCATAGTGAAAGCAGCAACAATGATATTTATTGATGCTTTATAATTTCCAAAAGGCATTTAACTGGATTGTTTCCTTTGATCTTCACAAAAATCTTGAATAGGATAAATAGATATTTTCATACCTTCAATTTACATACAAGGAAAAAGTCAGAGAGATGAAATAACTTATTCAAGGTCACACAGCAAGTGTCAGGGAACAGGGGTCGGGTGGGGGGAGTGAAGGAACGCTAACTCTGGGAACTTGTCGCCAAAGCCAGTGTACTTTCTGCTACCTCACACTGCCACATTTCCTTCCAGCAGCATTCTCTTGATACGAGGACAGTTAGAGTGATTCCATGACTACAAATTCAAGAATATAATATTGCCTTATTCTTCATGTTACTTGTCATCATTTTATATAGAATGGTTTTTATATCTGAGTCTCAAATACCATGGACTATTTGTTTTACCAATACGACGATGAGAACTTGAATTGTGTAGGTATATGGCATAGACTAGAATTGATTTGGATGTGAAAGTGTGCAGAATGCCTGGTGCACTGGGGTCTTGAAAGGGCTTATTTGCAGAGTAGTGTTGCCTGAACAATGCTTGGGACAAATCTCAACATTTCTCTGTCCCAGAGTTGCCCCTTTTCTTATTCCTGTCTGTTATATCTTACATCTTTAATGTAAACTGAATGGTACTTTCATAAAAAGGAGAGAGTAATGATAAAGGCAAAGCTATCTGAGCAAAAATATTTTCTTTGATGAGACATTTGGCTAATATCTGGGTTAAATGATTTCCTGATTATTACTATAAAAATAAAGCCAGGGCATAATGAAAACACTGGAATCCCAGCCAACAGTGAACTGAAACTGACCTATACTGTCCTAATTTGTTAAACCATAATTAGACCTCTCTAGAATATTCTTTTAAAACTTAGCTATGGTAGGGGATAAAAGTAATATCTTTTTCCTCACCCACCACAAGGCTTATGGCTGAGAGGCCTCTATAACCAAAGATGGGTTAATGAGAGAAAAGCATACACGTTTATTTAATATAAGCTTCATGTGGTACAAGCGCCTTCAGAAACGAAGACCCAAAGAAACAGGAAACCCGGTGCATTTTTATGGATAGTCATGCAAAAGTGTGATTGGAGGATGAAGGATAAGACCTAATAATAATAATAATCTGGGGGGAATTATCAAGGCCTGTTCAGATTCTTTTATGTGCCTCTGTGTCTTCAGGCATTTATTTCCTCTTGGTATAGGGAGGACCCCTTTGGAATGGGGGTCTCATGACCTACTTCAGGAGAAGATCAGCTAGGTTTTATGGCTTGCACTGGGGGAGAAGAGAGGAGGGGGAGTCCAGTTTCTATGCTACATTTCAGGGGAGGGCGGACAGGAGGTCAGAGAGACTGTCCTGCTTCTGCTGTTTTCCTAAATGCCAAGGTGCTAGATTTTGGGGTACCCTATCCCGAACCCTGTCACTACACAGAGAATCAAAGTTTCTCAAAGCCTGTTTGAATGTTGTCAAGTATATACTTACATGTATACATCATAATATAATATACACACAGATATACATACATATTTACTCACATTTATATGTTTTTAGATTGCAAAGCAAAGCAAATCTGGGGTAAGCATTAAAGTGTTTTTTGAGCAAGTTGAATCAAAATATAATTTTCTTTTAACTCAAGTCTCTGCTGTTTAAAATGGGCATTTTTATTTGCCAGTTTTAAGATGTCGCATCTGAAGAAAGCCTCATTCCCTCTGGAGGTCACAGGCAATAACTGGCCCCCTGTGATTTGGAGGAGTTTAGCCTCTCAAGCAATTGCCTTTATAGTCAAAAACAAGTTGAGTGTCTGAAATAAAAAGGGTCATTTTAAAGAGATTCTTCTAAACTTGTTGGGAAGTCTTGATACAGAGCAACATTTACTCCTCTCTTGGGGAGCAGAGAGGGAGGATGGGGACCTGTCTCACAGCTGAATCACCTGGACAGAACCAGGAGACCTGTCTGGTGACAGACACCAAAGCCTGATCTCTCTCACATCTGCATTTCTCTAACCAGATCAGGGAACTCATTGAATCTCTTCTTGTGGCTGACAGTCTGTAAAACCTGATGTCTTCATCTGTGGCACTAGGTTAACAGTTGGGCTCCTTGGGCCTCTCTCTCACTATGAAATCTCACCTTTAGCCACCTTCACCACCCCATAGTTTCCTGACTATGCCAGTCATTCCTGATCTGATCACCAGTTCCAATCACTTGGTGATACTATTCTGCTGTCTTGTAACACTCACTGCATTTTCTCTTTATGCAAATCCTTCCCATCTTTTAGAGAACAGGTTTTGCTGTCAACCAGACCTTGGATGGAGTCCCACTTATTTTGCTTACCAACTATGACCTTGGGAAAAATACCGTCTATGTCAGTAAATGAGAATAATAATACATAACTATTGGGTTGTTTTGAAGATTGAATAAAATAATTCTTGTAAAGTATTCAGTATAATTAACACATAGTAAATAATCAGTGAATGTTTTTATTTCAGAACTAAGGTTAAACCATGACCACTCCTCGAGGCCTTCCCTGGAGATTCGGGCTCATAGATTCCTTCTTTCTCTGAATTCTAAAGTACTTATGGAAGATTCAGCAGATAATTTTTAATGAATTAAATTTTAATACATCAAATTACTTAATAATAAAATTTAATAAAATTTTCAGTATTCTCCAGAGTTGTTACATATGTGTTAGTTTTCTTTCCCTGATTATACATGTGTGTTAGTTTTCTTTCCCGGATTACACTATAAATTCATTGAGATTATGAATCATTATTTATTTATTTTTTGGAGACAGAGTCTTTCTCTATCACCCAGGCTGGAGTGCAGTGATATGATCATAACTCACTGCAGCTTTCACCTCCCAGGCTCAAGCCATTTTCCTGCCTCAATCTCCAGAGCAGCTGGGACTACAGGTGTGTGCAATCATACCTGGCTAATTTTTTAAATTTTTGGTAGAGATGGGGTCTCCCTGTGTTGCCCAGGCTGGTCTCAAACTCTCAGGCTCAACGAATCCTCCCACCTCAGCCTCCCAAAGTGCTGGGATTACAGGCGTGAGCCACCACACCCAGGTGAATCATGATTTATATTTTCAGTATATACTCTGTAACAAATATGCTGGTATATAATCATGTTTTCAACAAATTATTGCTTGCTATTTAAAAAGACATAGGAATGTGCCACAGGAATATGTCATAGGAATGTGTGAGCTAGCAGGCCTATTCAGATGCACAGAGATAGAGGTTGGGGGTAAAGATGTGGTGAGGGTAGAGAGGGAAAGAGAAGGAAAATGATTTACCACCTATATTTTGTAACAGGCACTCTGCTAAGTCATCTAATATATTACTCCCAACAACTCTACCCTATTTTATATAAGACAAAAGTGATGCGATAGCATCCCTGTTTTCTCATCTGAGACTCAGGGTAGTTGGGTAATTGGAAACCATTCTGAGAAAAGCTGGATATAGAACTATATCCAGAACTATACAAACCAAAACTACATGAACTGGCAGTCAAGCTTAAGAGCTTCTCTTTACTAGCATCATTTGTCTTTTAGTTCTGCATGCTCCTTTCTTGGGCTTGGCTTCTGGGTCTCCATTGCAAAATGAGCAGATGGTTCTTGAATTTTTCCTGCTGACCTTGAAGAACTTTCTGAGGGCTGCCTTCTTCAAACCTTCACCTGAGTCTTTTAGTTTTGGAATGCCCCTTAAAGGACAGCAGGTGACAGGGAAGCTGATTATTTCTGCCTTCATGGGCTTCGATGCTGGTGGCCTCTATGGAGGCCACTCCCAGCTCTTGTCTTTGGAAAATCTGGATCAAACAAAATGAGACTCATGGTAGCACAGTTTCTATTTTCTGTGAAAATCAAGCAGATCAACTCAGTTCTTATCATACCATGAGCAAGTACCAGGATGAAATTTGGCTGTGTGTGGACAGGTATCAGGATGAACTCTTCATCCTTATTTTATCTGTTTTCCCCCCATATCAACAGAAAGCTTATCTAGTTTAGCAACAATGCACCTTCTACTAATCGGTAAATATTATGTATAAATTACAAGCATTCTGAGTTTATTCTGATTAGTCATGTTTTTAGAAAATGTGTTATAGATTCACAGGGCTGGAAAGAACTCAGAATTCTGGTATTTTGAGGCAAAGATTCCAGAGACAGTGCCTATAAAAATTGAATACATACACTACCTATATCAGGAGTGGTGGTGGTTGGAAGTTAATAATTAAATGTTCAGATACTTGGGACCCTATTGAGACCTTCTCAATCAGAATCTCTGCAAGTAGAACATGGGAATTTGCATTTTAAAATAAGCACCTTAGGTGAGAACTGCTGCTATTGACTATGTCACCCACCTGATTCTGTTTACCAGCAGTGGCCTCCAGAATGAATGAGAAGCAGGGCCTTTGCCCATTTCTGAAAAGGTGGTGCTGAAAAGGCGGTGCTGTTTGAAAAATGGATGTGCTGGCTGGGCGCGGTGACTCATGCCTGTAATCCCAGCACTTTAGGAGGCCAAGGCAGGCAGATCACCTGAGGTCAGGGGTTTGAGACCAGCCTGGTCAACATGGTGAAACCCCATCTCTACTAAAAATACAAAAATTAGCTGGGCGTAGTGGTGGGCACCTGTAATCCCAGCTACTTGGGAGGCTGAGGTAGGAGAATTGCTTGAACCTGGGAGCCGGAGGTTGCAGCGAGCTGAGACTACACCATTGCACTCCAGCATGGGCAATGAGAGCAAAACTCCATATCCAAAAAAAAAAAACAAAAAGAAAAAAAAAGGATGTGCTTATTTATGTTAGAAGGGAAAATATAGATATTTGCTAAACAAACACTGATTGAGCATCTGTTATATATCTGTCCCTGTGGTAGGCAGAGGACAGAGATGAAGTAAGACCTAGAACTTCTTTTAAGTACTTCTCAGATTAGTTCTAGGTACAAGCCAATTCACAAATAATTACTATACAATTGGATATTACTATTGGGAATTGTGTATATTGAGGAAAATTAGACAACAAGCATCAGGAGTTTTAAAAATGTACATGGGTAAAGTAATTTCACTTCTATGAATTTATCCTAAGGAAATAAATATAGTCGACTAGGTGTTTAAGAGAAAACTGAAAATTATTTACTATAATTTTACATGTACTTTCTCACTGGAGTCTCACAAGACCCCGAAGAATTAGGAGCAATTATATTCCTTTTACAGATGAAGGAACTAAAGCTTTGAGATGACAAGTGGTTTGCCCATGAAAACACCATTAGAAAGTGACAGAGTTAATGTTTGAACTTCAGTCTGCCGTGCACTCATGATTATACTCTTAACTCCTGAGGTTTATCCTCTAAAGAATACAGCTGTGTGGATAGTTGTTGCAGAGCTACTATTTTAATGTAAAAATGGGAAACACTAGAAATGGCCAGCACTGGGAGATTGGTTAAACACATTATGCCATAGCCATGTATGGGGTAATATATTCAAATATCAAAAATTATACTAGAGATGAGTAGTGTGTCCCAGCCAGGAATTTAGGCCAAGATAGAATATCTTTTCAAGTGGTCCATTGTATTTTATGTGAGGCTGTTTCCGTGTGGTTGTATTAAGATAGAACTCCAAGGTTGGAAAGCTGAGTATTTGTTTCAGGGTTGCACCAGATCCTTCCAGTTCTCTGAAACATAGGACTTCTAGATCACTGGATTCCAGCTGTGTTCGTTGAAGGCCCTGAAATCCCATGGTTATCTCTGGTGGTACAGAGGTAACCATAAATAAAGAGTTGTGTTCCCGTCAATCTAACCTAACTGTGGATGCCCAGTATCCACCAAGGAGCTCAGCAGGATGACTCTGACTTTGAACCACTATTTAACTGAATAAAGAATGATGGGCCGGGCAAGGTGGCTCACGCCTGTAATCCCAGCACTTTGGGAGGCCTAGGCGGGCGGATCACGAGGTCAGGAGATCGAGATATCCTGGCTAGCACAGTGAAACCCTGTCTCTACTAAAAATACAAAAAAAAAAAAAAAAAAAAAAAAAAAAAATTAGCCGGTCGTGGTGGCGGGTGCCTGTAGTCCCAGCTACTCAGGAGGCTGAGGCAGGAGAATGGTGTGAACCCGGGAGGCGGAGCTTACAGTGAGCCGAGATCGCGCTGCTGCACTCCAGCCTGGGCGACAGAGCGAGACTCCGTCTCAAAAAAAAAAAAAAAAAAAAAAAAAAAAAAAAAATGATGGAGTGCAGCTCCAAAGCTCAGGACCTTGCTGATGGTCACTTTGACCACCAGAGTGCAAGCTGTTTCTGCAGACATGAGCTGATGGGGTGATGGGTTGTCAGGTCAGCATACATCTTGCCTTGCTGTTTTAATTTGTATCTGATTTTGACATAAATGGTAAAACACCTTGAGTTCTCAGTGGACCAGGAAGAAGACATTCACATTAAAAAACACAAAATGCTGCACTTGTAAAATGTAAGATTAAGTGAACAGCTGCGTACTTACAGTATATTCTCAATTTGCTGGAGTTTAACTACTTAGAGTCCTCTATTAACTGATTTGGATATTATGCTCATGGGCATTCTCGCCAATATTATGAGAAAGAAGTGATTTACAATCAGCAAACTTGTTTCAGGACTATAATTTTTCTTTTAATAGCAAGACTAAGATATTAACATACACTAAGTTCAATTCCTCTTCACTGAGGATGGAAGTTATTCTATACATTTAATTGAATTGCTCATATTTTTAATTTCATGGCCTAAAACAGGAAGTATATATTGGTTAATGCTGAATTGATCAGACTAGTGAGTCAGCTAGAAGATTTAAATTCTGTAAACATTCTAAATCATTGGATTTGTATTATCCTAGCCAAATTTATTGCTCTATCAACAATCTGTTTTTGAGAAATAAAAGATGAATATTAGGGATTTATGTCTCAGGTATGATCAATGCCCACTAATTCTACCAGACAATGCCTCAGTGTTTTATTTTCCTTTGCCCGTGAAGAATGTGTGTGTGTGTGTGTGTGTGTGTAAATACAAACATGTATCTCCTTGTTTTCAAGATACAAACATAAATAAAGACATAGAAAGTTTTCTTTCTAATTGTTAACTGTAACAGCACTGAACTTTCTGTGACTTAAGATGAAGCACTTAATTATACAAGTCACATTATATCATCTGTGTTTAAACTGTACTTAACTGTATCTAAAATGAAATACAACATATTTATGTTTCTCCCCTAGTTTATTATAAAGTTTACACTTTAGAATTTTTAAATAGAAAACGTTTCCCAGAACTAGGATTTGTATGTGTTCCTTTGACTTAGCTGCAAGAATCAATCAGATCATGTTAAGGTGCACAATAAGGCTCTTTTTGAAGCCTGTTATTAAATATACATAAGAATAGACTTTTTTTTATGTGTTCAGAAATAAAGAGAAAGAAAGTGTTCTGTGTTTTTGAAGATTGAAATCCTTCAAAGCTTTTTTCATTTGCAAGAAAACAAAGGGCTATTGTAAATTGAAGTGCTGAAACAGCGACAGCAGTGAAGTAATTAATTGCTCATTCATGAAAGAAAAAGTATAAGTGAGAGGCAAAAGTTAACCCCTCAAAATAAAGTGTGTGGCTAACTGAACACCTATCAGCTCCTCTGTGTTTAAACACAATGGTCCTCTTTGTGCTGCAGGTTGTTTTGTTTTGAGGCCTGGTCGCAATTGTTGATGTCACTATATGTATTTTGGAAAACAGACACAAGCATGCATCTATAGATTTAACTTTTTTCTCGGAGGAAGAACTTACTGGCTATGGTACTATATTGTGAAAGCCAAGGTAAGGAATATTCTATAACTAGTGTCTAACACTTTTAATACATTATATTTATGATCATCTCTGTGATTAGATGATCTAATTAAAATATATGTGCAGATGTACACACATCTATGGTGGAAATGATTAAGCTTCCAAGGGGCTGTGCACAAGTGCCAGAAATGGAAGACTACATAAGATGTTCTCTAAAACAGTCAAATTAAGTGATCAATCCTATTTAGAAAGGTTTTTCAATATACTTTATGCCCCAGGGAATCTTGCTCCAACCAAGAGCTGTGGCTGGTAGCTACCATGTCTGCATTTACAACAGCTTGAGTTATGTCATCTCACAGGGTTTAGGGAAATTGCCACCAGCATAAAGCAAATAATTTCCTCCCTCCGATCCTCAAGAATTGCAGAAAACTGTAATTTCTCATTATTAAACCTTCTGCTCCATCCCATCCTGCTGTACCTTCGAACTGTGAGACTTACAATCACCTTTCCATCTTAAGCATAGGTGTATATGTATTTTGATGTGACAAAGTCACACCTCGTCGTCAGCAGTATAACATCTTCCTAAGGTGGTGGCAGAAATCCGAAGCAGATTGAAGAGTGGCTAAAAAGTTCTCATCATTTTAATATTAAAACCTTGACTGACTTTACCTACAAAGGTTCACAAAATCGAGTTAGTTGGAAAATCAAATATTCATTTGTGTTTTATCCAAAATATTTGTTCACTTTACCTGAAAGAGTCTGAGACACAGTCTCCTGAATTTCAACTCTAAAAGTTAATTGGGGAGGTCTTTCTTGGATTGCATTGATTTAATCTCTTGAGCTACCAATAGCAACAAAACATAGACAGGAATTTAGAATCAAGTATAATAATAATATAGATAATAATAATTCTATGCCAGGGTAAACACAGTTCCCAATATATGAACATTTTTTGAGCAATTAATTTCATTTGTAAATTTACATTTAAAACTCAGAAGCTATTTTTTTTCCATGAAAACACTGTGATAAATGGTTATTGAGTTTCCTGGCCAGTAGGTGAAATGTATTTGAAATGCAGAAGGCAATTATTATTTTAAACATTATTAAACAATATTAATATACTACCAATTAAAAATATTAATATTAAATAATTATTAAATAATAATATTTAAAGAGTATAATAAAGAAACATGTATTCTGAATGCCATTGAATATCAGGGTAGGTCATTTTCCCCATCCCCAAGTGGAATGGGAGAACTCCCTCTCCCATCTGTGGGCAATAGGACGTGGAGTGCTGTGGATCAAAGGCACTGGTGGTGGCTCTTGTGATGGAGAGGAAGTTTTGGCAGAGAGAGGTTGAAGGAGGATGACCTGAAGGATTAAAATGGGAGCCAGATAAGTGAGATGTGCAGGGTGAAGGGAAGGAAGGGGATGGTTGGGGAGAGATAAGGATCGCCAGGGGTCTAAAGTTCTGACCTTATCCTGACCAACGTCCTGTCTATTGCCATAAAGGGAGAGAACTTTTCCCTCTAGAAGGAAAAGAACATTGTGATAATGGTAATGGTAATGGTAATTACCAAAGGGAAGGAGACTTTCTATCTTAGTCTAGATAAGGAGCTAGTTGCATGAGATATAAGTAAGTTGGGGGCCTGTGATGATTAATTTCTTTTTTTGAATATTTAAAATTCTAGCAGCAATGCTTAAGAGAGAAATTCTTATAAAACAAATTAAGATCACATTAATATTTCACATTCAACAGATAGCTATTGAGGGCTTCTTGTATATAAGGTGCGAGCTAGTTTAAATTCCTTTAGGAACTAGTTGAGTAAAAAGCGATGCAGTAGAAATTTTAAATTGGAAAATATATTCTAGTGATTATGTTTCTTGACTCCAGGGTTTCCAGTAGTAGGGAAGATAGTTTTCACTGCCTTATTTTGTGGGAACAGTGAGGCTGAGAAGGCCTTTTCATATGTTCTGGTGGGCAGGTGTAGCCAGCAGTAGAAAATGAGCAACTGGAGCGGTGGTGAGACGCTGGGGCAAAGAGTTTCAAGACCTCCAGAAATCATGAGTTAGATAAAATCACCCAGGGTTCCAGCAGATAAAAAAGGTACAGAGGGCTGGGTGCGGGGGCTCATGCCTGTAATCCCAGCACTTTAGGAGGCCCAGGTGGGCAGATCACTTGTGGCCAGGAGTTTGAGACCAGCCTGGGCAACATGGTGAAACCCCGTTTCTACAAAAAATACAAAAGAGCCAGGCTTGGTGGTGCATGCCTGTAGTCCCAGCTATTCTGGAGGCTGAGGTGGGAGCATCGCTGGAGCCTTGGAGGTCGAGGCTGCAGTGAGCCAAGATCGTGCCACTGCACTCCATCTCGGGTCACAGAGTGAGACCCTGTCTCAAGAAATTGAAAAAAGGTGAAGAATACAACTTTGTGGGGATATCTATCACTTAGGCATCAGGAGGAGGAAAAAAGGTGTTCAAAGAGGTGAGGAGCAGAAAATTACAAGAAAAAGATAGTCATCATGATCACCACATAAAAAGTTTTATTTACTTGGGGCACAAACAAACAAACATCCACCCACTAGATCAGTATCAAGGAAATTTTGGATAACTTTTGAGAGAAACATTTTAGTGTAATAAAGCTGGGTGCCAGATGGCAAGGAGCATGTGGCTGGTCAAAAACGGGGCTTGGAGAGAAGAAAGGAGACAAAGGTCATTGAGGGAGTGATGGGATCTTAGATAAGAGGAACTTAAGCAGGTTGAGAGGCCAGCATTTCCCAATGTGTGATTTCTGTGGAACACTGTGCTCTTGAGAGATAAGCGGATGCTCCATGGTCAAGTGAGTCTGAGAAAATACTCGTGAACAAAGTTAAATAGGTTTCTTTATTGCAGGACTGCTTAGGGCCATTATTGCATTGATATGAATAAGAAATATTTGAGAGATATACAGTTTACCAGCTTTTTGACCAGGGAGAGCTTTTTTGCTAGAGCATTTCATGGCATTAAATTATTCTAGGCACACATTGTGAGACATGCTATTACACGCCAAGGGATAAGTTAAGGTAAAGAAATGCATTAAGACCGGGCGCGGTGGCTCACACTTGTAATCCCAGCACTTTGGGAGGAAGAGGTGGGTGAATCGCCTGAGGTCAGGAGTTTGAGACCAGCCTGGCCAACGTGGTGAAACCCCATCTCTACTAAGAATACAAAAATTAGCTGGGCATGGTGGCACATGCCTGTAATCCCAGCTACTTGGGCGGCTGAGGCAGGAGAATTGCTTGAACCTGGGAGACAGGTTGCAGTGAGCTGAGATCATGCCACTGCACTTCAGCTTGGGCAACAGAGCAAGACCCCGTTTGAAAAAAAAAAAGATGCATCAAAATGCAAAGGTGAACACTCCACTCTGCTACCCAAAAATCTTCAGTAGCTATGTAGGGCCTAAAAGATATATTAATAGTTCATATTTCTTTCTTTCATTGTGTATTTTTTTCTTACTGAGATATAATTTATATAGCATAAAATTCATTATTTTAAAGTGTATGATTCCATGGTTTTTAGTATATTCACAGAGTTGTGCAACCATTATTACTATCTAATTCCAGAACATTTCTTTTTCCCTTTTTTTTTTTTTTTTTTTTTTTTTGAAACAGGGTCTCAGTCTGTCACCCAGGCTGGAATACGGTGGTACAATCATAGCTCACTGTTACCTTAAATTCCTGGGCTCAAGTGATCCTCCCACTTCAGCCTCCCGAGTAGCTGGGACTACAGGCATGCCCCACCAGACCTGGCTAATTTAAAAAATATATATGATTGGTAGAGACAGGATCTGTCTATGTTGTACAACAGGTCTTGACTCCTAGGCTCAAGTGATCCTCCCACCTTGACCTCCCAAAATGTTGGGATTCCAGGCATGAGCTACTATGCTCAGCCTAATTCCAGAACATTTTCATCACCCCCTATCAAAAAATAATAATAATCCATATCTGCTAACAGTCACTCCCCATTTCTCCCTCCTCCCAGCCACTAGGAACCGCTAATCTACCTTATGTCTCCATGCATTTGCCTATTCTGGACATTTCATGTATAAATGGAATCTTACAATAAATGCCTTTGTGCCTGGCTTCTTTCACTTAGCATAATGTTTGCAAGGTTTATACGTGTTGTAGCATGTATCCATACTTCATTCCTTTTTTTTTGAGATGGAGTCTTGCTCTGTCGCCCTGGCTAGAGTGTAGTGGCATGATCTTGGCTCACTGCAACGTTTGCCTCCCGGATTCAAGCAATTCTCCTGCCTCAGCCTCCTGAGTAGCTGGGATTACAGGCATAAGCCACTACGCCCAGCTAATTTTTGTATTTTTGGTAGAGATGCGGTTTCACCATGTTGGCCAGGGTGGTCTCAAACTCCTGACATGAGGTGATTCACCTGCCTCGGCCTCCCAAGTGCTGGGATTACAGACGTGAGCCACCAAGCCCGGCCTCATTCCTTTTTATGGACAAATAATATTCCATGGTGTAGATACACCACATTTTCTTTATTTACTGTTCACTTGGTGGACATTTGGGTTGTTTCTGCCTTTTGACTATTAAGAATAATGCTTCCATGAACATTTGTATACAAGTTGCTTTGTGTGAACATTTCTTTTTATTTTTCTTGGGCATATACCTAGGTATGGAATTATTGAGTCATCTGGTAACATAAATGTAAGTTTATGAGGCCCTTTTATTTTGAGTTTTTGAGGACTGCCAAAATGTTTTCCAGGTTGGAATATCATTTTGCATTTTACAGCAATGTGTGATGGTTCTGATTTCTCCACATCTTTGCCAACACTTGTTATTATCTGCCTTTTTCATCATAGCCATCCTAGTAGGTGTAAAGTTTCAATGTGGCTTTGTTTTGCATTTCCCTGATGACTAATGATACTGCACATCTTTTCATGTGCTTATTGGTCCTTTGCATTTATTATTTGGGGAAATGTCTATTCAAATACTTCTTCTTCCCAATTTAATTGGGCTATTTCCCTTATTACTGATTTTTTAGTGTTCTCTATATATTCTTGATATTAGACTCATCAGATATATGATTTGCAAATATTTTCTTCTATTCTGTGGGTTTTCTTTTCACTTTCTGGGTAGTATCCTTGGAAGTTCACATTTCTTGGCCATCTAAGGTCCTCCAGGTCTGCTCTCATTCTGTCTTGTAGTATGATCTTTCGTGATTGCTTATGCTATCAATTCTAACTAGATGCATTTGCCTTTTATTTTTTACAACCATCTCAGTATGCTCACTATGACGTCACTCTTCCCATTGAAAAATGCCTCCCAGTTCCTCTACAGTTTTCTAAATCCTACCTGTCCTAAAGACCCACCTCAAATTCTGCCTCCTTCTTGAAAAATTTGTGGATAATCTTAGCCCAGAATGATCTTTTCATCTTTAAAACTCTTGTAATCTACACTTTTTAATTGTTGCTCCCAAACATTTGGTAACTAACATAGGATATCTCTTATTCTCAATACTTTTTCAGTATACATTTTAACCCAGATGAAGGTGGATCCCTTGGTTTGCATATTTATGTTTAAATATTTGTCTATGAGCTACAAAGAGAGAGAGAGAGGTGGGTTTTTACTTTATTTAAATTTGTTTTGGATAAAGCTCTCTAGTTTACCTTTAAAACAATGATATATGATTGGCACTAAATCTATTCTCTCTCTCACAAATCCATATTTATTCCTGATATTAAATATGTTTAGCAAGCTACCTTTCTTCAATAAAAATAAACATTTGCAGTTTCTAAGTTCTGAATGTGATTCTCATGGAAGAATATTAGCAGGAAAACTGATTCAACTAATTTTAATACCCAAAATGGATACACTGTAGTTTCTTCTTTTTATAATTATATTTATTATTATATGTAAGACAATTAGAGAACAATCTGAAAACGTAGTTATTTTCAGTATTATGATGAGGCTGTCTTTTTGAAAGGAATGTTATAGAAACCAACTGCAATGTAGAGATTGCAAAAGCTATCTGAATATGTGATAGCTCCCAGCAGGATTACTGAGAAAGGAGTGAAGATTAAAACTAGGCTATAGTTCTGGAGAAACAGGTTACCTATGGTTACAGTCATGACTGACATTGTCTAAAACAAAGGGGATATATCACTAATAAATGACACTTAACCCATGGACAAGTATAGAGAAGAGAAGAGAGAACCTGAAGATTCTGACAGGATCATGTCAGAGAAAGATCAGAGAAAATAGCCTTCCTTTCATATTTTTATATTTTAACTAGAAAGAAAAACTTCTATGTTATATTTTGACACTGGTGATGGATGAATCAAGTGAGAAGTTGTACAGTTGCTTGATGTGCTGGAGGAGGAATAGAGATAAATTACAGCTGGGGAGGCCACATCGAAGCCAAATTAACTCAAGATCAAACCACTGTATCAATGATGGATATGAAAGATATTTATGAAGCCAGGCTCTGTGCTTCCCCACTCACCCATACTCCCATGACAAAGGGGGAAAATAAAGGCTTTCTTTGGGCTGGGAGCTAGAAAGAAAACCAGAGCCCTAGGTCACTGAGAAGGGACCCCGCACCATGCCACCTCCTCAGGCAGAGTCCCAGACTGGGGAATCAAAGGCAGAGTCCCAGGCCAGGGAACCAAACCCTGAGAAATAGTTGGCAATCTGAGTGTTGGGGATGCATACTTTATCTTCTGGCAGTGAACCATTACTTTTTGAGGGATTGTGGGCCTGCCATTGGTTGCCAGTTTATGATATTCTAGCCTTTTGACTGGATCCCATTAGGGAAGAGACACCAGCTATGTCCCAGAAGTTCCTTCTTTGCTGAATAGCCATGTGACTCTTCATGCATTTAATAGTGTGTTTCAAAAGTTTCCAAGAGCTAAAATGGGCTGCCATAACCCTTCATCTTTTTACGATAGCAAGATATTTAGCTAACAATAAGGTTACTTAAAGAGTGAGTCTCTCCATCCATGGTGAGGTTTTTCCATTGACACACTGGAAATGGGAAAGCTAGGAACAGAAGATGCCAAGTTACGTAATGAAAGTGAGTGGTGAATTTTATACACACTCTCTAAAAAGCAGCATTATTTCCCTGCCATATTTCACAGTATTAACAGGAATAAAAGACTAATATGTGATAATAAAAGGGTAATAAAAGACAATTGTATATTTATCAGGAAATTAGTTAGGATGATTCATTTATTTTCTTGGCTCTGATATTAAAAATACATCCAGTATTCCTTACAAGAGTACCATAAAAGATGAATGAATTAAATTTCTCTAGGCAATTTTCAGCACTGAGAAAAGAGATGTCTTTTCAAACTAATGACTATTTCATGGATGCAATGGAGAGATATTCAGCATCTGTAATTCTCTTTGGCCCAAGAGTGAAGAGATAAGTAGTAATCATGCCTTCAAGGTAGAATTCATAATCAAATCCTTAATTAAACTCAATATGGAAAGTCTTTAATAAATATCAAAATCTGACTATCAGATTTTCTGGCAAATATTTAATGCTGTGTTTAGTATCTGCTATCTGAACATCACCGTGGAAAAAATTAAGCCTTTCTTTTTATTTACTGGTTACATAGGACCATCAATGTCATATTTAAATGGAGAAGAATCCTATATTTTAATAACACACCTTCATATTATTCTACTTTTCTTTACACATACTTAACAGTTTCTGGAGGAATTTCAATTCATTTTACTATTTTAAAATTTATATTCATTATGTATTAAGTGAATACATGTGGCTGATTCTCTCTCCAAGGAGTTTTTAATCAATCCTCTTCTATTTGTTCAGACCAAAAATCTCATTGTCTTTCTTGACTCCACTTTTTCTTTCATGCCCCGCATCTGTCAGCAAATTCTGTCAGTTCTATTTTCAAAATAGAATTCTATCAATTCTTATCTCTCCTATTGCTACCACCTAGTCCAAGCTACCCTCATCTTTCACCTGAATCATTGTGCTAACCTCCTCCCTGGCCCCTTTTCTCCTCCTGCCCTGCTGCTGTCTGTTCTCAACATCGGTCGGAGGATCCCGCTTAAGCATAAGTCAGATCTTGCCACTCCTAGACTCAAAACCCTCCGGTAGCTTCCCAGCCCACTCTTGAAAGCCAAACTCTTTATAATGGCCTAAAAGATTCTTCATGTTCTAGATCCCCCTCCCTATTTTCTTCCTTGCCTTTATGCCTTTATCTTCTGTTTCCCTCCTTCTCGCCTTCATCTCCCTCCCCACCCCTGCCTCATTTTCTCTTCTCTGCCCACACTGACTTCCTGGTGTTTGTGGAACATGCCGGACCCATTCCAAATGCAGGCTGTCCCTTCTGCCTTGAATGCTCCTCTCCTCCACAGCTTCATGGCCAGGCCCTCCCTCCTACAGGTCTCACTCAAAAGTCATGTTCTCTGCGATGCTCTCCCTGGATTTGGCATCTAAAGTTTCACTCCCTTTCTGGCATTGCATCTCTTTCTTCTTTACTTTATATTCTCATTCGCATGTGTCATCACTTAACATACTGTATCATTTATATATTTATCTTGCTTATTATGTCTTCCCTACAAGAATGCCAGCTCCGTGAGGGTAGAGATTTTTGTCTTATCAGTGCCTAGAACAGTTTGGTAAATACTTGTCAAATGAATGACTGACTAACTGAGATATTTTATTCATGTGGATTAACCTTTATAAAACAAGTAAAATATTTAAATGGTACAAGATTACCTGCTGCATTTATATTGTTCGGAGAGCAAGGAGAACAAATAAGGGACAAGTATTTTTATCCTTGGAAGGCAGTTGTTGGAATTTCTTAGGAAAAAAATGTCATCTTCCATGTACCAAATATATGTAGGCTTCTAGAAAGAGACAGAGTTTCAGATACTGCTTCAAACATGGGAATAATCCATTATAACCATCTTCTTTGAGTTTGAGAACACTAATTTTGGCAAAAAGTTTACAAATTAGAGTAGACTGACGGGACAGGCAGTATAGTGTAGTGGCTAAGAGAGAAGCTCCAAAGTGAGAAAACCAGAATTTGTATTGGAGGTCTGGGGTGCTATGTCTATGAGAATTTGGGCAAGTTATTAAATACCTTGCCTCAATTTCCATGTATGCAAAATGGGCATATTAACAGTACCTGCTTGTAGGATTGTTGTGAAGATTAAATGAGTTAATTCATGTCGACCACTTACAGCAATATTTGAATTTAATGTAGTGCTGATTAAGTTGGAATTAGTATTTTCATCATATTGTTTTGACTGCAGGCATCGTGAAGGCGTGGGCCATCAGGCATATCAAAGGAGATGGTGCCTTGGAAACTGAGGTCAGAGAGGATATGGAATTGGAAATGAATCACTGGTATTTAAGATGGAAACACGAGTGGGGGCCAGGGTGGTGAGGGGTTGAAGAACATCCAAAGCCAGATTGGAGAGTCATGTTGGACTTTCTGGCAGTCAACATGGCCTGTAAGAGGAGGCTGCAGGAAGGGGGGGGGATCCCCAAAGCCCCGTCTTGATTCTTTCTGCATTTCTGGTATCCCTGTAGAATAGTAAAGTGAAGGAGGGTGGGATCAGAGTAGGGGGAGCTGGCAGAGGAAGAGAAACAGTGTTTTATCTGTGACTGGATAATGCTATTCAGTAGGAGGAGTGTATAAAATATTCCCATTAAAAAATAGAGAAGCTGAGACTCTAAGAAATAATTTGAAATAAAGCTGAAGATAGAGTTGAATATCCAGATGAAATGCCAAAATTCTATCAGCCATTTGATGTTTCTGAATGTCTTGGTGTCTAGCATTGTGTAGGTAAAATATCCAGCTGCTTGTCTAAATTTTCCATTTTTCATCCAGATGTTTCCATTTCTTATTGTACATGGATATATTTAATAATATTTATAGTTTAATTAGGCATTTATGAAAGCAATTATGAAGTTTGATTGGATATTCATAGTTTTGAAACTATAAAGAATAGCATAAAATGTTTGTACTGCTATAATAAAATTCTATTTTTATTTTGCAAAGATGTACTTGATTTTTCAATAGAGGAAAGAACTTTAAAAATTCAGTGTAATAACAAATTTGACACATCTGTTCTTCCTGTACAGAATCTTGAGACTTGTGGGGCTGACATGGGCCTTAGGTCACAGAGTGCTTATAAAAGAGGGCCACTTCCATGAGACAAAGAGATTGGGTAGGAGACCTCTAAGATTCATACTGAGCTGAAAGCTGCCTTCCTGAAGGTTTTGTCAATGAAGACTTTCTCAGATTTTTGAGATTGCTGCTCAGAATCTATTTTCATCCCTCTCCGTCAGACCAATGCTATAACTATTTAGAGACAACTCTCGTGTCTCTCCTGACTTCTCCCTTGCTCATGCAATGTATCTTCTTTTTCTTCCATCATTCTTCATATAATCTGGTGTTGAAACTCTTCTCTACCCTAATCTCAGACCCCTGTATATACAGTTCTGTATTTTAATTTCCTTTGTAAACAATAACACTGGTAACTAAATCTGATACTCTCCCTGGAGTCTGACCAGGTCAGAAGACAATGAGACTATTACATTTCTTATTTTGAGCGCTATTGATATGCATGCAGTCCACGTATTCAACAGTGCTTTTGAAGTTACATTTCCCTGCTGATTTCTATTATTTGATGTTAACTGAAACAGCTAGATTTTTTTTTAATGTGAGTGGCTCTCTTTTTATCTCCTCCATCCTGTTTGGAGGCTTTGACTTTGCAACACTACTGAAAACACGGCATTAGTTTTCTCCGTATTGACTTTTACCTTGTAAGCTTCTGTGTATCATTCTGCCTGTTCAGAAGTTGAAGTCTGTGTCTAATATGCTATCTATCCTTTCCATCTTTGAGTCAGTTGAAAACTCAGAAAGCCTGGTTTCAGTGTATTTTTTTAAGTATTTGGTTAAAATTTGAATAAAACAGAGATAGGCCTGTAGTATGTCCTTGGAGATATCTCTCCTGGCTGATGACAGTGAGAAACTTGGACCCATTCCTTGAATGCAACCCCTGGAAGAGATCTGTGTTTATTCAGAATCTGAGGCACATCTTTGAGAATAAACAGGTTTTATTGTGGAGTTTACAATTTGAGCACCTTAAGGGTTTCATTTATTGCTGAGAATTAGCATCTAATTAATTTGTTAAAATGTTTCAACAGCAAACAAAGTAGGTAAAGAAAAAAAAGCAAAAAAGAAAAAAAATTGGTTGTTCCCACATGCAAGAAGTGAAGTTGAATTGTGCCCTGATTAATTGATTAAGGATGGTTCCTGTGGTGAATAATTATGTTCAATAACTGTCAATATAATTTGCAATCAATTATCACTTATAAAACCAGCCTATAGCAAACTCAGTTTTACATGCATCCTAATGCAACTGCCATATTAGGAAGCATGACTTTCCATTTCCTTCATAATGTCCTTTATTCAGCATATCATAATTGAAAGCTTTCACTTTATATCCAACAAGGTATCTCCCTTCCACTTTCAGAAGTTGCCTTAAAACTTGTTTTTTCTTTTTTCTAGAAAGTCCATTATGATTAGTGGCTGTGGTCAGAAGTTATCCAGCCTGTGATAGATTGAATTTCTCACTATTCTTCACTCTCCTGCAGGGAGATTATACATCCATACCTTTGCCATGGCCTCATGGTGGGTGAAGAATACTTTCCTATCCTTTGACTTTGGGGGTTTGGCATGAGACTTGCTTTGGCCAACGAGATGTTAGCAGACATACCTTAGCAGAGGACTGAAATGTGCTTAAGTAGATGGGCTTGCCCTGTTAGACATCACCATGAGAAGAGTTTCCCCAGGTACCTGCTACCCTTTCAGCCTGGATCTCAGAATGAACACACATGGAACAGACCTGAGCCCAATCTGCAGCAGAGTCGTGCCCAGTCAGATCCTCAATCTGAAGCAAAGTTGCCTACAGAGCCTAGCTTAGATGAGTTGAGTCCCAGCTGACTTGCAGATCTATGAGCATTGGAATAGATGTTTATTGTTGCATGCCACTGAGTTTTGGGGCTGATTTTTTTTACACAGCCTTTTCCTATGAAGTACTATTTCTTAATTCAAGTGGGAAATTTGTTGTTTATACTATTGCTTAAGTTCAGTAATAATTCATCAAGTCAAAATTTAGCTGCCAGGAACCTTACTAATCTGTAGTGTAGCCAAGAATACAGAAGAGAGGACTGTAGCTATAACAAGTGGACCAAATAGATACGATGTTCACACACTAATGCTCTTATATTTATTCCTAGGAGAATTCTTCAGACACTCAGGAATACTTATTCTAATCCTTACATTCAATATAAAATCTTTCCTAGCTGGTTTCCTCATCATAAAAATGTAAAAGTGAGATAAAGTCTGTTCCAGCAGGCACATGAAAGGAGATACAGACAGCCTATGACTTGATGGAAAGTGGGAAAACCTGACACGTATAACGGTCTGGGATTTTCAGTGTGGAGCCAGGAACCTGCCTACTTCTGGAGGTCCTGAGAGCAAACCCCAAAGCTGAGGTTCATAAAGATGCATACTCTTGGGGCATAAGGCAGCATGCTAGGGGTATAGAAAATGTGGGACTCATGTGAACACCTTTCTGAAATGTCTTTTTTTTCCAGCTTTATTATAAACTGGAATAGCAGGTCCTGTTTTTTTCTTTCTTTTAAGTACTAGTAAACTAAAAAGGGAGGAACTCTTTTTTTTTTTGTCAATTAAGGGCATCTGTCAACATCATTTGATAATGGAAGGCTTTTTAAAATATTAACTAAATAAGAAGGATGTAAACCTCCTAAAAGAGGTCATTTGGCAAAGTTTCACTTTGAACTAATATTAGGGAACCATTGATTTAAATTATTGACTTCACTTTTCAACAAGCAAAGATCTAGTATTAAATACAAAATTTAGATAATATTTTAAGATAAAAGTGGGGCATTTCGTGACTCTTCCCTCGGAGACAGATGTTTACCCTTTTCTGCTGGTAGGAGAAGTTGTCAGGAAAAATTTGAGAGCTTTTGTTCTGTTATTAAATCAAGCTGCTGTTAGCCTGTTTGAGAAAACAGGGAAATATATTACACATTTTAGAATGTAGCACACATTTCCTCAAATGGTTAAAATATAAAAGATGATGATGCTTTAAATTTAGGAGTAAATTGTTGTTTACCTGGAAATGTAACTATGGAGTCTCATTTGTTACCCGTGTATTCTAGATAGCTGAATCTCTATTGTATATCAATCAAGCAAATCTTACCTCTTCCAGGGAACTTCTAGTGAGACGTAGCAGTGAGTTAATTCATAGTGATTCTTAGAGCCAAAAAATGTGAGCTTGTGTCCAGGTCTGATCTCTATGCGGAAAGAAGAGAACATAGCATGCATGGAGAACGCAGAGGGCCAACTTGTCTTTCCCCCAAGCATTCCTCCTGGCTTGCAATTTCCTCCATTGGTGTGGTTACTATGACTTTTACAATGAAATACCATGCAAGGTAAGCCACACAGGCCACCAACATTTTCTACCATGTGCTAGGAAGGATGAGAGACACAAACATGGATTACTCCTGTTTTAAAGAGTTTGTAATGTAGATGGAGAAAGAAGGCAGATAAGAGACACTAAAACAAAACAACAAAGATAAGGCAGTAGTTAATTAATAACTAAACTATGTGTTCTCATTTCCAAGAGTTGTAGAAAGTTTGGGGAGGAGAGGTCTTGCAGGCCTGGAGTAGGAGGAAGGTTTCAGTGTCTGAGGATTAGGCCTTGAGGGAGGGAATAATTTTAGGGAGTGGATAGAAGCAGAGAGATCATCCCAGGGCCTTGTCACATTGGTAGTTGAAGACTTGAATGGCAGGAACCCAACAGAAGTGGTGGAAAATAACTTTGTGTGGTTAGGATTGTGCCAGGATCTCAAGGGCATCAGAATTAGAATTAAAACAGGAGGAAATGGAAGGCTTTTGAGTAGGTAAGTGACCTGATAATGAGGAACGTTGATCTGAAGATAGGAATGACAAGAGGGCAATAGTGAAATGTATACATGAACCACTTTTTAACCCACAGGTTCTTCATTAATTTAGACAACTTAAGGGTATCCTGAGGAGATGAGATCAGGACCTTCAGATTACGAGACTCACGCCCTGCTGGCTGCGCTAAGAGGGCTCCTGAGGAGATGAGATCAAACATAGGTAAGCTTTCCCGTGTGTATGTGTTGGGAAAAGGAGGTGGCGATTTGAGGTTGGGTAAATGTCCTAAGGATGATGGGACACTTGAGCGACCAATGCCACTTCACAATTTGACTTCAGGCACGTTGGGGGGTGCATTTGGTAAACAGTTTTAGGGGTCCTGAACAAGCCCTGGGCTCTTAGGAAAGCTAACCCCCTCCCTCCTCCAGAAAATTAGGAAGGGATAATGCTAGATATTTTGTCTTTTAAAAGAAAGAGAATCAGTCCATGGTGGTAAAAACAATGGCTGTTAGGGATTGTCTTGCATCTTTTACACCTGCAGCAAAATTCTCCAACTCTAAGATCACTGTTGACAGCAGAAATGGACTTCTATGTAGCACTTTCTGTGTTATTTCGTTTAATCAAATGCAAATGTCAACTCTGTGAGGTAAATATTGCTAGTTTCATTTAACACACCAGGAGGTGAATGTTCAGTAAAGGTCACATGGTGATAAAAGCAAAACCAGGACTGCCATACTGGTCTTCTGACCACAGAAATCTTTGCCCTGCTCTGTTCTTTTTTTCTCATAACATGGAAAGGGGAGCAAGCATTTCAGAAGACCCAAACTGCTGGAGAGAGTGAAACTATGCATCAGGGAAAATAGCATTTTTGTTTAAGAACTCAAATAATGGGAAATAAAAGCAATACATACTTGAATGTGTCCATTTATGCATTCTTCTTGGTCTCTATACAAGAAGTGCTGTTTGAGATGAAAGTTCTCTGTACTCAAATATAGAGAACCAAAACCAGAATGTTTCAACTCTCAATCAAGAACTTGCAGACATGAGGCAGGAGAATCATTTGAACCCGGGAGGTGGACATTGCAGTGAGCCAAGATTGCACCACTGCACTCCAGCCTGGGCAACAGAGTGAGACTCTGTCACAAAAAAAAAAAAAAAAAAAAGAACTTACAGACAATGGGACAGTGTTTTTCATATTGTGTTCAGAGGAGGCCAGGCAGCAGGGGAGGGAATGAGGTGGGACCATCATGGTATCTAGTGCTCTTGACTTCTTCTCCCATCACATATGCTCTGCTTTTTAAGACAAGTATTTGTTTTCACATATGTGTAAGATTTCCTTTGATAAAGGGTTAAACAATTTAAAAACAGAGGGACAGTTTCCAAGTCTAGTTTTTTTCTTTTCCCCCAAATGCCATCAGCTGAACAACTCAATTGGATTTGTTCTGAAATCAAACCTGGTTTTATGTTTGCTGCTACAAATGATACAGAGCAGAATATGTTATTCTATAAATGCAAGAAAATATGACCAAGTTATTCAAATAATGACTAATATTCTTGCATAACCATTCAAGTGAGAGAAAAACTGACTCCAGCAGAAAAGCAGCCATGACAACCGCATAAATAATAGGCACTGCTTTGAGATCTTTTGGGTAAATGGAAGATGAACTTGCTCTCAGAAAACAAATGGCACAAAGAAATAAGTGTTACATGCAGCAAGGACTCAGAGAGCACCTGGAAACATCACCATTGAGATCCTTTCATTTTTTATTTTTCTCTCTTTATAGATAGGGTCTCAATCTGTTACCCAGGCTGGAGTGCAGTGGTGTGATCATAGCTCACTGTAGCCTCAAATTTCTGATCTCAAGTAATCCTCTCACCTCAGCCTACTGAGTAGCTGGGACTACAGGTGCGTGCCATCATGCTTGGCTAATTAAATTTTTTTTTTTTTTGTAGAGACGAGGTCTCATTATGTTGACCAGGCTGGTCTAAAACTTCTGGCCTCAAGCAATCCTCTTGCCTCAGCCTTCCAAAATGCTGGGATTACAGGCATGAGCCACTGCGTCTGGCATCATTGAGATCTTTATGGGAGAGTTTTAGGGATAAAATTCAGTAGAAAGCATCTGAACATTTAAAAAGTCCTTGATATAGGCCGGGCACGGTGGCTCATGCCTGTAATCCCAGCACTTTGGGAGGCCGAGGCGGCCGAATCACGAGGTCAGGAGATCGAGACCATCCTGGCTAACACGGTGAAACCCTGTCTCCACTAAAAATACAAAAAATTAGCCAGGCGTGGTGGCGGGCACCTGTAGTCCCAGCTACTCGGGAGGCTGAGGCAGGAGAATGGCATGAACCCGGGAGGTGGAGCTTGCAGTGAGTCGAGATCGCACCACTACACTCCGGCCTGGGCGACAGAGCGAGACTCCATCTCAAAAAAAAAAAAAAAAAAAAAGGCCTTGATATATATTCTTGGCGTGGCTCTCCAAACTAGTTATTTTTTTGGTCTACCAAAACTCATCAAAATGTTATGAAAATGCTAATTTCTCCATAACATCACTAGCTGGGTATTAAGATTTTAAAAATCTTTGCAGCCACAGGTGTTTAAAAAACCCCAGTTGGAGGAGGTACACCTCTTTTCATCAGCTGGTGCCCTGAGTTGCTGGCCATCATTACAAGAGCATGAAATTGTACAGAGAGGGCCTAGGAAAATTGTCCTAATTTGTGCCATTTTGTGGAAGTCAACAGCTAATCCTTTGGAATCAGGGCTTTCCATAGAGGATAGGTTCATTTAAATAAGTGTTATAGTTAGCAATCTATGACTGTGGAACAATCTGTGATAATTTGAACTTTTGAATAACCAACCACAGTATAATGTTTGAAAAGCTGTAAAAAAGACTTCATCACAACTCACAATTGAAGATGGAGACTTTTATAATTCTGTCCCAAAGTGTTCCATTTTAAACATCCTATAGGTAAATAGAAGTAAATGGCATGTATTTAAATTGGATTTGTTCTCAAACCTGTTTCAACTTGAGCAATTGCTGCAATAAGATTTCCTTTAATATCTTCGTTTAACTGCCATTGGTTTAAAAAAACCCTAACTGAAGCTATTTCTGAAATTGAAGATTGAACATAATTGATATTAAGTACCATTAAGCTCATTATTGGTCTTGTAAAGATATTTCTATATTCTCTGGGACAGATATCATCTCAGGGAAAAGAAAGTTCATTTATTATACGTTTCCTCTATTGAATTCTATTCACCAAACTATGTCATGTAACGTGCTAGCCTCTGGGTACTGGAAAAATGAGGAATAAAGTTTCCTGAAGAAGCTAGGCCTAGAGGTGGATGGCATATGTACACATTCACAAGTAAGAACGCATTGTGATAGTTGCTGTAATAGAAGCACACATAATATAAGTGCTTGGAAACACAAATGCTAAGTTAATAATTCTGCAGTCACAGTAGAGGAAAAGGCAGAAAAAAGGTCAGGGCAACTAATGAGAAATGGCATGTCAGCTGGGCCTTAATTGATAAATGGGAGTTTGTCAGGTTGATAAGGGGAAATGGGGATTACAGACAGTGGGAAGTCTGTCCAAAGGACTGAAGGTCAGAAAACTCAGGACATGGGTAGGAAATCTGCTGTGCTTAGAGATATGACCACGCACACTGGGGAGAGGCTGCACACGAGCCTGGAAATCTTAACCAGGCAGACTGCAAACTGCATCTTTATTTGTTCGTTGTGAATATTGTGCTACAGTGTACTTTTACTCAAAATCCTGGAGTCATTAGACAGGCTCTCACTTCACTGCCTCTGTAAAGGATTGCATTTCATTTCTTCTAAGATGTATACAAAAGGAAAAGAAAGATTTTGAAAAGGAATTCCAATACATTTCTTTCCAACAACATTCATTTGTATTTGATTTTCTAAAAGAAACAGACATTCAATGTATGGATCTGCAGAAATGTGTGTGATTTTACTAAAATATTTATTTCTACAGAACCATATCATTTCTATCAGCTCTTCCCTATTCTACAATAAAAAGTCCTTAAAATGAATGACAAGCCAATGGTATAGCATTATCTCCACTTGGGATTCTTAGATATTGTTTGTCAGTGTTTGAATAGTACATTTTTGCATGGGAAAAAGCAAATTGTGGGCTCTTAACAAAAAGCATCTCAGAGAATTCTTTCGATGATGATGAATTTTATCTTTGTATATGAGGTTATGCTGGGTGGTTTCTAATGCATCTTTCTCTCTCTCTGACTCATTGTTTCCTCCCCCACCCCACCTCACTACCTCTCTGCTTGTGTACAGGGTAACAATAAAGTCTGGAAACATAATAACATTATTTTATATGTATTTTACTATTAACCAGTCATTTCTTAACCTATGTCCCCTGACTTAGTGGCTAGCCTGTAGTTCTAAACTGACTGATGTTGAGATTAGTCAAATATATTTTGATAAAATGAGAAGCTTAAAAGTGATTGGCCTTATGTAAGTGGGGTTTACTTTGGTGGATCCCCTTGTCACTTTTGGGGCCTATTTTAGATAAGCTGATGTTTTCTCTCAGAAAGCAGCTATATCTGGTGCTCTATCTGTATTGGTTGGTAAAGGGACCATTGAATTAAAATGAACAGTTCATGGTAGACCTGGCCAAAATGGATATAGAATGGGATGATAGAAGCTAAGGTGGAGGCCGTGAAAGACTGATGTCTACATATGGAGACTGTGAGCTTGACTCTGCACAGAATATTTCAGCTATATATCTAGGGATAGGAGTTATATATCACTGTTGGCTACTCCATACTCTGCTGGCCGTGAACTAGAATACTTTGGAAAGTGTATGTTGAGCCTCTCTTAGGGTCCTGAAGATGGCTAACTGTGTGTCCCAGTAAGGAGCTGCTAAGGGTGTTTCTCCTTTCTTACCCAATGTCCTCCAAGTCAGGCCACCAATAGCTTATACAAAAGCTTTGTGAAGGCCGGGCACGGTGGCTCACGCCTGTAATCCCAGCACTTTGGGAGGCCGAGGCGGGCGGATCACGAGGTCAGGAGATCGAGACCATCCCGGCTAAAACGGTGAAACCCCGTCTCTACTAAAAATACAAAAAATTAGCCGGGCGTAGTGGCGGGCGCCTGTAGTCCCAGCTACTTGGGAGGCTGAGGCAGGAGAATGGCGTGAACCCGGGAGGCGGAGCTTGCAGTGAGCCGAGATCCCGCCACTGCACTCCAGCCTGGGTGACAGAGCGAGACTCCGTCTCAAAAAAAAAAAAAAAAAAAAAAAAAAAAAGCTTTGTGAAAACCAGGAAAAAGGTTATCCATCTGATATGGTTTGGCTCTGTGTCCCCACCCAAATCTCATCTTGTAGCTCCCAGAATTCTCATGTGTTGTGGGAGGGACCCAGTGGGAGGTAACTGAATCATGGGGGCAGGTCTTTCCCGTGCTGTTCTCGTGATAGCAGATAAGTCTCACAAGATCTGACGGTATTATAAGGGGGAGTTTCCCTATACAAGCTCTCTCTTTGCCTACTGCCATCCATGTAAGACGTGACTTGCTCCTCCTTGCTTTCTGCCATGATTGTGAGGATTCACCAGCCACGTGGAAATGCAAGTCCAATTAAACCTCTTTTTTTTTTTAATTGCCCAGTCTCAGGTATGTTTATCAGCAGCATGAAAATGGACTAATACGCCGTCTTCTCTATGGTCCTGGGGGCACGGATTAGGGATGGAGCAGAAGAGGGATTTTAGGCACTTTGTGCTGAAAACAACCTATATAATTACATATGATGGCTCTTTCTCTATTGTCTAGTGCCAGGCATCTCTGGGGTATTAATATTTAAGGGAGAATCCCATTGTCTACTTTTGGTTGAACATCTATTACATACTTATATAGGTAATTAGCATACTTTCTATGAATACTGGATATATTTATAGTGTATATACTAAAACTTAATCTGGAGGTAGCATTTAAAGTTTTCTAGATTTTTCTAACTTCCTTTGTTTCACGTATGACAAACTTTAGTTATGATAACTTTAGTTATGAAGAAACTTCAGAAGATTTCACCCCATCTGTTTCTGATATTGATTATTCTAAACCAGAAAAGAGAGTGTGAATTCATAAAATATCTTGGTCAGTAAAGCAGATGGTCATGAGAGTCTATAGAAATTCACTTAGCATCCACAAGTCCAGAGGATGCAGTTACCATGCTGCTCAGTTGAGATGAGAGAGAGAAAATGTGTTCAGAAAGTCATATAACAACACCAATTCCAGGTTTACTTATGCTTCATATTTTTTTTACTCTTTGTGGCAGGAAGAAAAATGGAGTCTCCAAGATGTCCACATTTGAATCTCTGGAACCTGTGAATATGTTACTTTATATGGCAAAAGGAACTTTGCAGGTGTGAGAAAAGTTGAGGACCTTGAGATGGGGAGATCATCCTGGATTATTTGAATAAGCCCAAATTCATCAAATGAATTCTTAAAAGAACCTTTCCTCTGAGATGAGAGTCTGAGGGAGATGTGGCTATGGAAGAATGGTCAGAGAGCAATGCAAAGCTGCTGGCTGTGAAGATGGAAGAAGGGGCCATAAGCCAAGAAATATGGTTGGTTTCTAGGAGCTGGAAGAGGCAAGAAGACATATTCTCCTCTAGACCCTCCAGAAGAAATGCAGCCTCACTGACACCTTAATTTTAGCCCTGAAAGACCCATTTCAGAACTCTGACCTACAGAACTGTAAGATTGTAAGTTTGTAGTGTTTTAAGCCACTAAATTTATGGTAATTTATTATAGCAGTAACAGAAAATCAATATATGCTTTATGCAGGTAGTACTAAATTACATATTGCAGGTTTATGTTTGTTTGAGGACAGCTCTTTCTTTATTTTTAGAGATAGCACCTTGCTCTGTCACCAGGCCGGAGTGCAGCAGTGTGTTGATAGCTCACTGGAACCTCAAATTCCTGGGCTTAATCCATCTTCCCACCTATATCTCCCACATGCATGTAGCTAGGACTAGATGCATGTGCCAGCATACCTGGCTAATTTTTTTTGGCTTTTTTTTTTTTTTTTTTTTTTTTTTGTAGAGATGGGGTCTCACTATTTTTCCCAAGCTGATCTCAAACTCCTGTGCTCAAGCAATCCTCCTGCGTTGGCCCTGCCAAAGTTTTCAGATTACAGGTATAAGCCACCACACCTGGCTGGACAGCTCTTTCAAGGACTCTCTGTTTTTAATTTAAAATCTAATTTTAATTTTAATTTAGTTTTTTAAATTAAAACAATATACTTTGAACATCTGTGCATCAAAAGACCCTACCAACAGAGTGAAGAGGTAATCAATGGCATGGGAGAAAATATTTGCAGATTATGTATCTTATATGGGATTAATATTCCAAATAAATAAAGAACTCCTACAAATAATAAAAAACCAAGCAACTTGATTAAAAAATAGGCAAAGAATTAGATAGAGATTTCTCTAAAGAAGATATAAAAATGGCCAATATACACATAAAAAGATGCTCAAAGTCACTAATCATTAGGGAAAGGCAAATCAAAATCTCAACGCAAATCAAAATCGCTTCATATGCATTAGGATGGCTATTATTAAAAAAACAGAAACTAAAACTCAGTGAGAATGGGTATGAAGTTACTTGAAGTTATTCCAATGCATTGTTAGTGGGAAAGTAAAATCGTGCCACTGCTGTGGAAAACAGTATGATGATTCAGCAAAAAATTAAACAGAATTACTTTATGATCTAGCAGTTTCACTTCTGGGTATATACCTAAGAGAACTGAAAGCAGAGGCACTGCTGAAGCCTCGTCTCTACTAAAAATAAAAAAATTATGTGGTGGCAGGCACCTGTAATCCCAGCTGCTTGGGAGGCTGAGGCAGAGAATTGCTTGAACCTGGGAGGTGGAGGTTGCAATGAGCTGAGATCGCACCACTGCACTCCAGCCTGGGTGACAGAGCAAGACTCTGTCTCATAAAAAAAAAAAAAAAAAAAAAAAAGAAGAAAAGAAAAAGGAATGAAACTGGGGATCCCAGATCAAAGATGGCCGAGTAGGAACAGCTCCAGTCTGCAGCTCTTAGCAAGATCAATGCAGAAGGTGGGTGATTTCTGCATTTCCAACTGGGGTACACAGCTCATCTCATTGGCACTGGTTAGGCAGTGGGTGGAGCTCATGGAGGGCTAGCCAAAGCAGGGTGGGGCATCATCTCACCCAGGAAGTGCAAGGGGTTGGGGAACTCCCTCCCCTAGCCAAGGGAAGCCGTAAGGGACTGTGCCATGAGGGATGTAGCTGTCACACAGATACCACGCTTTTCCCATGGTCTTTGCAACCCACAGACCAGGAGATTCCCTTGGGTGCCTACCCCACCAGGGCTCTGGGTTTCAAGCACAAAACTGGGCGGCCATTTGGGCAGACACTGAGCTAGCTGCAGGAGTTTTTTTTTTCATACCCCAGTGGTGCCTGGAATGCCAGTGAGACAGATCGTTCACTCCACTGGAAAGGGGGCTGAAGCCCATGGAGCCCAGCAAGCTAAGATCTGCTGGCTTGAAATTCTCACTGCCAGCACAGTTAAGTCTGAAGTCGACCTGGGACACTCGAGCTTGGTTGGGGGAGGGTTGTCTGCCATTACTGAGGCTTGAGTAGGCGGTTTTCCCTTCACCTTGTAGACAAAGCTGCCTGGAAGTTTGAACTGGGCAGAGTCCACCACAGCTTGGCAAAGCCACTGTAGCCAGACTACCTCTCTAGATTCTTCCTCTCTGAGCAGAGCATCTCTGAAAGAAAGGCAGCATCCCCAGTCAGGGGCTTATAGATAAAACTTTCCTCTACCTGGGATAGAGCACCTGGGGGAAGGGGTGGCTGCGGACACAGCTTCAGCAGACTTAAAAGTTCCTGCCTGGTGACGCTGAAGTGAGCAGCAGATCTCCCAGCACAGAGCTTGAGTTCTGCTAAGGGACAGACTGCCTCCTCAAGTGGGTCCCTGACCCCTGTGCCTCCTGACTGGGAGACACTTCCCAGCCAGGGTTGACAGACACCTCATACAGGAGAGCTCCAGCTGGCATTTGGCAAATGCCCCTCTGGGACAAAACTTCCAGAGGAAGGAACAGGCAGCAGTCTGCTATTCTGCAGCCTCCACTGGTGATACCCCAGGCAAACAGGTTCTGGAGTGGACCTCCAGCAGACCTGCAGCAGAGGGGCCTGACTGTTAGAAGGAAAACTAACAAACAGAAAGGAATAGCATCAATGTCAACACACAGGATGACCACACAAACCCCGTCCAAAGGTCACCAACATCAAAGACCAAAGGTAGTTAAATCCACAAAGATGAGGAAAAACCAGTGCAAAAAGGCTGAAAACTCCAAAAACCAGAAGGCCTCTTCTCCTCCAAAGGATCACAACTCCTCACCAGCAAGGGATGGAAAACGAGTTTGATGAACTGACAGAAGAAGGCTTCAGAAGGTGGGTAATAACAAATTCCTCTGAGCTAAAGGAGCATGTTCTAACCCAAAGCAAGGAAGCTAAGAACCTTGAAAAAAGGTTAGAGGAATTGCTAACTAGAATAACCAGTTTAGAGAAGAACATAAATGGCCTGATGGAGCTGCAAATCACAGCATGAGAACTTTGTGAAGCACACACAAGTATCAGTAGCCAAATCGATCAAGCAGAAGAAAGGATGTTGGAGATTGAAGATCAACTTAATGAAATAAAGCGTGAAGACAATATTAGAGAAAAAAGAATGAAAAGGAACAAACAGAGCCTCCAGAAAATATGGGACTATGTGTAAAGACCAAACCTATGTTTGATTGGTGTACCTGAAAGTGACAGGGAGAATGTAACCAAGTTGGAAAACACTCTTCAGGATATTATCCAGGAGAACTTCCCCAACCTAGCAAGACAGGCCAACATTCAAATTCAGGAAATACAGAGAACACCACAAAGATACTTCTCAAGAAGAGCAACCCCAAGACACATAATCATCAGATTCACCGAGGCTGAAATGAAGGAAAAAATGTTAAGGGCACCCAGAGAGAAAGATCGGGTTACCCACAAAGGGAAGCCCATCAGACTAACAGCAGATCTCTCTGCAGAAACCCTAAAAGCCAGAAGAGAGTGGGGGCCAATATTCAACATTCTTAAAAAGAAAGAATTTTCAACCCAGAATTTCACATCCAGCCAAACTAAGCTTTGTAAGCGAAGGAGAAATAAAATCCTCTACAGACAAGCAAATGCTGAGAGATTTTTGTCTCACTACCAGGCCTGCCTTACAAGAGCTCCCGAAGGAAGCACTAAATATGGAAAGGAAAAACTGGTACCAGCCACTGCAAAAACATACCAAATAAAGACCATCAACACTATAAAGAAACTGCATCAACTAACGGGCAAAATAACCAGCTAGCATCATAATGACAGGATCAAATTCACACATAACAATAACAACCTTAAATGTAAATGGGCGAAATGCCCCAGTTAAAAGACACAGACTGGCAAATTGGATAGAGTCAAGACCCATCAGTGTGCTGTATTCAGGAGACTTGTCTCATGTGCAAAGACACACATAGGCTTGAAATAAAGGGATGGAGGAATATTTACCAAGCAAATGGAAATCAAAAAATAAAAACAATTAAAAAAAGGAGGAGTTACAATCCTAGTCTTTGATAAAACAGACTTTAAACCAACAAAGATAAAAAAGACAAGGGCATTACATAATGGTAAAGGGAATAATGCAACAAAAAGAGCTAACTATCATAAATACATATGCACCCAATACAGGAGTACCCAGATTCATAAAGCAAGTTCTTAGAGACCTACATAGAGACTTAGACTCCCACACAATAATAGTGGGAGACTTTAACACCCTACCATCAATATTAGATCAATGAGACAGAAAATTAACAAGGATATTCAGGACTTGAACTCAGCTCTGGATCAAGCAGACCTAATAGACATCTACAGAACTCTTCACCCCAAATCAACAGAATATACATTCTTCTCAGCACTACATGGCACTTATTCTAAAATTGACCACATAATTGAAAGTAAAACACTCCTTAGCAAATGCAAAAGAATGGAAATCATAACAAACAGTTTCTCAGACCACAGTGCAATCAAATTAGAACTCAGGATTAAGAAACTCACTCAAAACCACACAACTACATGGAAACTGAACAACCTGCTCCTGAATGACTACTGGATAAATAACGAAAATAAGACAGAAATAAATAAGTGCTTTGCAACTGATGAGAGCAAAGACACAACATACCAGAATCTCTGGGACACAGCTAGAGGGAAATTTATAGCACTAAATGCCCACAAGAGAAAGCAGGAAAGATCTAAAATCGACACCCTAACATCACAATTAAAAGAACTAGAGAAGCAAGATCAAACAAATGCAAAAGCTAGCAGAAGACAAAAAAATAACTAGGATCAGAGCAGAAATGAAGGAGATAGAGACACAAAATCCCTTCAAAAAACCAATGAATCCAGGAGCTGGTTTTTTGAAAAGTTTAACAAAATAGATAGACCACTAGCCAGACTAATAAAGAAGAAAAGAGAGAAGAATCAAATAGACACAATAAAAAATGATAAAGGGGATATCACCACTGATCCACAGAAATACAAACTACCATCAGAGAATACTTTAAACACCTCCATGCAAATAAACTAGAAAATCTAGAAGAAATGGATAAATTCCTGGACACATACATGCTCCAAAGACTAAGCCAGGAAGAAGTCGAATCTCCGAATAGACCAATAACAAGTTCTGAAATTGAGGCAGTAATTAATGGCCTACCAACCAAAAAAAGCCCAGGACCAGATTCACAGTTGAATTCTACCAGAGGTACAAAGAGGAGCTGGTACCATTCCTTCTGAAACTATTCCAAACAATACAAAAAGAGGGCCTCCTCCCTAACTCATTTTATGAGGCCAGCATCATCCTGATACCAAAACCTGGCAGAGACACAACAAAAAAAGAAAATTTCAGGCCAATATCTCTGATGAATATCTATGTGAAAATCCTCAGAAAAATACTGGCAAACTGAATCCAGCAGCACATCAAAAAGCTTACCCACCACGATCAGGTCGGCTTCAGCCCTGGGATACAAGGCTGGTTCAACATACACAAATCAATAAACACAATCAATCACATAAACAGAACCAAGAACAATAGCCACATGATTATCTCAGTAGATGCAGAAAAGGCCTTTGATAAAATTCAACACCTCTTCATGCTAAAAACTCTCAATAAACTAGGTATTGGTGGAACATATCTCAAAATAATAAGAGCTATTTATGACAAACCCACAGCCAATATCATACTGAATGGGCAAAAGCTGGAAGCATTCCCTTTGAAAACCAGCACAAGACAAGGATGCTCTCTCTCACCACTCCTATTCAACATAGTATTAGAACTTCTGGCTAGGGCAATCAGGCAAGTGAGAGAAATGAAGGGTATCCAAATAGGAAGAGAGGAAGTCAAATTGTCTCTGTTTGCAGATGACATAATTGTATATTTCGAAAATCCCATCATCTCAGCCCCAAATCTCCTTAAGCTGATAAGGACTTCAGCAAAATCTCAGGTTACAAAATCGATGTGCAAAAATCACAAGCATTCCTATACATCAATAATAGACGAACAGAGAGCCAAATCCTGAGTGAACTCCCATTCACAATTGCTACAAAGAGAATAAAATACCTAGGAATACAACTTACAAGGGATGTGAAGGACCTCTTCAAGGAGAACTACAAACCACTGCTCAAGGAAATAAGAGAGGATACAAACAAATGGAAAAACATTCCATGCTCATGGATGGGATGAATCAATCTTGTGAAAATGGCCATATTTCCCAAAGTAATTTATAGATTCAGTGCTATTCCCATTAAGCTACCACTGACTTTTTTCACAGAATTAGAAAAAACTACTTTAAATTTCATATGGAACAAAAAAAGAGCCCATATAGCCAAGACAATTCTAAGCAAAAGAACAAAGCTGGAGGCATCACGCTACCTGACTTCAAACTATACTACCAGGCTACAGTAGCCGAAACAGCATGGTATTGGTACCAAAACAGACATATAAACCAATGGAACAGAACAGAGGCCTCAAAAATAACGCCACACATCTACAGCCATCTGATCTTTGACAAACCTGACAAAAACAAGCAATGAGGAAAGGATTCCCTATTTAATAAATGGTGTTGGGAAAACTGGCTAGTCATATGCAGAAAACTGAAATTGGACCCCTTCCTTACACCTTATACAAAAATTAACTCAAGATGGATTAAATACTTAAACGTAAGTCCTAAAACCATAAAAACCCTAGAAGAAAACCTAGGCAATACCATTCAGGACATAGGCATGGGCAAAGACTTTATGACTAAAACACCAAAAGCAATGGCAACAAAAGCCAAAATTGACAAATGATATCTAATTAAACTAAAGAGCTTCTGCACAGCAAAAGTAACTACCATCAGAGTGAACAGACTACCTACAGAATGGGGGAAAATTTTTGCAATCTATCAGTCTGACAAATGGCTAATATCCAGAATCTACAAAGAACTTAAACAAATTTACAAGAAAAAAGTGGGCGAAGGATATGAACAGACACTTCTCAAAAGAAGACATATATGCAGCCAAAAAAATATGAAAAAAAGCTCATCATCACTGGTCGTTAGAGAAATGCAAATCAAAACCACAATGAGATACCATCTCACGCCAGTTAGAATGGAGATCATTAAAAAGTCAGGAAACAACAGATGCTGGAGAGGATGTGGAGAAATAGAAACCCTTTTACATTGTTGGTGAGAGTATAAATTAGTTCAGCCACTGGGGAAGACAGTGTGGTGATTCCTCAAGGATCTAGAGCCAGAAATACCATTTGACCCAGCCATCTCATTACTGGGTATATACCTAAAGGATTACAAATCATTCTACTGTAAAGACACATGCACACGTATGTTTATTGCAGCACTGTTCACAATAACAAAGACTTGGAACCAACCCAAATGCCCATCAATGATAGACTGGATTAAGAAAATGTGGCACATATACACCATGGAATATTATGCAGCCATAAAAAAGGATGAGCTCATGTCATTTGCAGGGACATGGATGAAGCTGGAAACCATCATTCTCAGCAAACTAACACAGGAACAGAAAACCAAACACCGCATGTTCTCACTCATAAGTGGGAGCTGAACAATGAGAACACATGGACACAGGGAGGGAACATCACATACCGGGGCCTGTTGGGGTGTAGGGGGATAGGGGAGGGATAGCATTAGGAGAAATACTTAATGTAGATGACAGGTTGATGGGTGCAGCAAACCACCATGGATCGTGTATAGCTATGTAACAAACCTGCACGTTCTGCCCATGTATCCCAGAACTTAAAATATAATAAAATATAAATAAATAACAAAAAAGAATGAAAGTTTGACACCTTTTGTAATACAGATAAGCCTTGCAGATATTATTATAGGTGAAATAAAGCAGACATGAAAAGAACTATCCTATGATGCTTATTTCTGAGAGATACCTAAAGTAGTCAAATTCACAGAGACAAAAAGTAGCATGGTGGTTGCCAGGGGCTGGAAGAAGGGGGAATGGGAATTATTGTTTAATGAGTAAGGAGTTCAGTTTAGAAAGATCAAAAAGTTCTGGAGATAGATGGTGGTGATGATTTCATAGCAACGTGAATGTACTTAATGCCGCTGAACTGTACACTTAAAATGGTAAATTTTATGTTATGTATATTATGCCAAATTTAAAAAAGTAACATTATTTGAGAAAAGGAACCTAAATGAGATCGGTTCAGGCACATTTCAGAAATGATAAGGAAAGCGTAGCAATAGAGATGGGTCTTGTAGAGCAGTGATTCTCAGCTAGGTGGAGATTTTTATTTCCTAGAGGACATTGCGCAATATCTGGAAACTTATTTGGTTGTCACAGTTGAAGGTTGCTCCTGGCATCTAGTGGGTAGAGGCAGGGATGCTGCCAAACATCCCTGATGAGATGTACAGAACAGCCCCTCCACAACAAAGAATTATCTAGCCCCAAATTTCAATAGCACTGAGGGTAAGAAACTGCGTTGTAGAGATATTGGGTAATGTGGTTGAATAGAGTTAAAGGGACTGATGAGAAGAGTATCTTAAATGGTAAGCCAGGGAGTTTGTAGTGCATGCAATGGGTAATACATTATTTAAGTTGGGGGAAGGAGGACTTAACAGTGATTGAGAAAGGTTCATCATAGGAGGATGGATGAGATGCAAAGAAAAATTAAAAGCGGGAGACCAGATAGGCAGTTGCTGTGGTAATCTAGTACGGTGTAGAAATATCTATAATGCTCCATGTCATTTCATGTGGCAGGCATTGCTCTAAGGGCTTCGTATGTATTAACTTACATTGTTCTTATAATATTTCTGTGTTATAATCATCATTCTCATTTTAAAGAAGAGGAAAGGAACAGAGTAAGTGCCAAAGGTCATTAAAGGATGGTTGGAGCTAGGCTTTGAACCCAGGAAATCTATGCTGCCTTTTTTTTCAATAGGTGGTACTTCTTTTTAATGCCTGGATACATCACCTTTTTTCTCGGTTGGAAAATTAGGTTTATGGTTAAGTAGGATGAGGGAATTATCTAAACTTTCCAACCTCCTTTCTACATTAGGCTGAGTTTGAGGAAGATGGAGACAGTTGAGAAGACAGCAACCAGCTTTTTGAAATTTAGAAAATTGCTTGCAGGGAAGATTAGATTGAGAGTGGGTGAATTAAACATATAGATTGGAGGAGGTGAATAATCAGGGAGAGATTGCAATTTCTCACCCACAAGCTCTCAAATTCTGACTCTCCAAAAGCTTCAGCAGGCTGTAGATGCCATTTCACTGACATGCATCAAACTTGAAAAACACAATCTAGGCCAGGATTGTCACTCCACCTCCTACTCCCCAGTAACACTCACTCATCTTGAGCACTTCCCACTCAATAATCCTTTCCCATGAAAAGGAAGATGGCCATGCCCTGCTGTGATGGTCTGTGAGCTTGTTTAGGGAATGAAGTGGTCTGTGCCACAGAGGAAGAAGAGAGGAGAGAAAAGGGATTCTTTATTTCATTGAAAGCACATCACACTTGACTCCTTGCCTGCTCTTTGTAATTAGTATTGCGGTTTGCTGTAGCTCTGAAGATCTAGGAAAGGCTGAAAAGCTTCTGGCCCAGTTAGTGTTTGCTCCTAAAGAGATTTAAGACCAGAAAATCAGCTGTTTTAGTCTTAATTCTCTTACTAATACATTATTTAATCTTGGACAATATTACCATATTCATCATTATTGCACTGCCTGCTTTTCCATGCAACATCTCTTGATATTCATATTAGGTTGCTGGAGAAGGCAAAGCAGATATTATTAGCAGTTTTTTTTCCTATAAGAAAAACTGAACTTCTGAAAGGGTACATGATCTACTTAGGGTCACCCTGCTAGCAGGTGGCAAGGCTGGACCACAAGTGTTATTTCACTCACTTCCAATTCATTTGTTCTGGTATCACTGCTTCTCTAACCCTAGGGTGCATAAGAGTCACCTAAAGAGTTTATTAATGTGCAGATTCCTGGTATCTATTCCTAGGCATAGCATCTGTATTATTGTGGAATGATACTATGGTATCTATTTCTATAGTATCTCTATTATTATAGTAATAACATAGTATGGAGATAGTATCTCTATACTAACTTAGTAGGCCTGGGGTGGGATCTGAGAATTTTCATATTAGTGGTGTTGGAGTGCAGTCCATTTTCAAAGTGACACTGCTTTATACTATATTGATGTACCTCTCCGTACCTCAGTTTCCTCATCGTTAAAGACAAATGATAATAACCAGCTGTCTTCATTTTGGGGATTACTGTTGGGACTGCGGTGAATTAAAGATGGCTACAAGTACTCTGCCTCTCCTCCCAGCAGGAGGAATAATACATCTCCTTGCCTCTTGATTCTGCGCTGGTCTGGTGACTTGTTCTAATGAATTTATGTGACTTTTGACTTCCAAGCAAGACCTCAAGTAGCCTGGCAGCTTCCACTCTTGCCCTCGTAGAACCCTGAAATCACCATGCAGAGAGGCCCAGGCAAGAGCTTGTGGTGACAGAGACCCAGCTAACCACCCTGGCATGTGAGTGAGACCCTCCAGGATCTTCCTACAGTTAACTGAGGCTGAATGAGTGAGATTGTGAGAAATAATAAATTGTTGTTGTGTTAAGCCACTAGATTTTGGAAGGGTTTTTTATGTAGCAGTAGACAGTTCAAATGAAGATAAAATGAATAATAATTATGAAAATATTTTGAAATTACAGTAGCACAAATTCTCAAAGAATAAAGCTTTTTCATAATAATAAAATCAACTGTGCTAAAAATTAACAAAGCAGACCAAAGATTTAAAATCAATTGTAAGAATAGAATAAACATTGAATAAAAAAGAAATCTATGAATACATAGTGATAAAAATAGATAAATGAGTGAATGAATGGAAGATTAGAGGACTTTTCTGTCCACTAAGTGTAGAGGGAGAAGTAGAGTTGGAAAATTAGCATTTTGCAATCATATAGTAAAGATTGGTTGGAGCAAGTCACGCACAGATGCTAAATCTATGGGGAAAGTATGAAGAAGATGATATTTGCTTGCTCTCAATGTATCTTCCTATGGATTGTTACTAATTACAAAAGAAAAATCCCTAATTACACAGAAGAAAGACCTTACAATACCATGACCGGGTAATCAAAATTAAAATCACCAATGAGGGTAGATGAATATTGTGTGCTTCTAGATGTGATACCATGAGAAGGATAAAAACATTACTGGGACTGTGTAACCTGAATCTACTCTTGAGGAAACAGATAAACTCAAATTGAGGATATTCTATGAAATAACTCACTTGCATTATTCAAAAATTAAGATATGAAAGATATAGAAAAGCTGAGGAATTCCTCCAGATGAAGGGAGACCAAAGAGACATGGCAACTAAATACAATACATCATCTTAACTGGATCCTGTACCTGAGGGGGAAAAATGACATAAGGGGCATTATGAGAACATTTGAAAAGATTGGAACATAGACTGCAGATAAGGTAAAAATATGGTATCAACATTAAATTCTCTGAATTTGAAAACTGTTCTGAAACCAAATATTCTTGGTCCTAGAAAATGCACATTCATTTATCAAGAAGCAAAGGGTCATGTTGTAGCAATCTACTCTCAAATAGTTTAGAAAAATAAATTACATGCATATACATGAGACAGTGAGAGATGATAAAGCAAATGTGGCAAAATGTTAAAAATTAATGCATCTTGCTAAAGAATAGATGAGTTATTCAAGCTATTCTTACAACTTTTCTGTGAGTTTGAAAATGTTTTGAAACAAAATGCTACAGAAAGTATATAGGTGGATATATTTTTGATCTTCAAGTGAAGATGAACTTTGCAAGCTTAATAAAAGGAAGAAACAAATTATTGATAGATTTGATCACATTAAAAAGCAGTAAAATCATTAACAAAATTCAAAGACAAAATATAGGCTAGGAAAATATTTGCAATAAAAATAACACAAGAAGAATATAATTAAAGTTGTAAATATGAAGAGCTCATACAAATTGTACTAGGTAAACAAAGAAAGATATTCAAAAAAATCAAAGAAAAAATACTAACCAGTGTTAGAAAATTTCTTCTTACAAGTAACACAAAAATGCAAATGAAAAAGATACATGCCTTTTCACTCATGGAATTAGCAAAGATAGAAGATGATAATACTCAATGCTGTCAATGATGTAGCATGGTGAGCACTTATAGTAGTAACTGTGAATCTGTACAATCTGGAAAGCAATTTGGCAGTACGTATAAAGAATTTTAAATGTGTTTTTACTCTTGATCCAGTATTAAATTCTAGAAATTCATCTTATGGAAAGAATCAAAAATCCAAACAACATTTTATACATAAAAATGTTCTTTGTAGCATTGTTTATGTTATTTCAAATTTTCATAGTCCAGGAGGAGGTTAAATAAATTAGTTTCACATGATGTTAGTAAAAAGTTTTCAATAACATGGGGGCTGTGATGGTTAATATTGAGTGTCAACTTCATTGGATTGAAGGATGCAAAGTATTGTTCCTGCGTATGTCTGTGAAGGAGATAAACATTTGAGTCAGTGGACTGGGAGTGGCAGACCCGCCCTCAGTCTGGGTGGGCACCATCTAATCAGCTGCCAGCCTGACTAGAATAAAGCAGGCAGAAGGTGGAAAGAGCAGACTTGCTGAGTCCTCTGGCCTTCATCTTTCTCTGATGCTGGATACTTCCTGCCCTCAAACATCGGACTCCAAGTTCTTCAGCTTTTAGACTCTTGGACTTATACCGTGGTTTGCCAGGGGCTCTAGGGTCTTTGGCCACAGACTGAAGGCTGCACTGTTGGCTTCCCTGCTTTTGAGTTTTTGGGACTCAGACTGGCTTCCTTGCTCCTCAGCTCGCAGACGGCCTATTGAGGGACTTAACCTTGTGATCGTGAGAGTCAACGCTCCTTAAACTCCCTTTTGTATATACATGTATCCTGTTAGTCCTGTCCCTCTAGAGAACCCTGACTAATACAGGGGCTTACTGTATAATACATTATTCAAAATGAAAGTATACTCTTAAAATACTAAATGGGATTAAAACAGAATATTAGCAGTGATCCGAAGGTAGGGGTCCTAGCAGGTAACAGTTGACATCCTCAGTAAGGTTTAGCTGAAGAAAGTTTGAAGAAGGGATGATTTGTAGAGATGTGGGCAGAGTTATGGAAATCAGAAGGCAAAGATAATACATCCAGGGACTTCACAGCAGAGGATAGGTCTACCATTCCCACCCAGTCTTGAAGGGGCCAAGAGCAGGGATGATTACCAGAGACTGGAAAGAGCTGAAGCTGTGAAAGATCTTAAACCAGCTCTTTTCCTACACTCTGATGTCCTGAGCTCCCGGTTGGGCACGTGATATGAAAAGCCTGGGTAATGCAGTCCTTAGGGATCAGACTTCTGGTATACAGAGCAGGGCAGAGAAGAACGGTGAATGGATCTAGCAATCCAAACAGAAAGTAACCAGCACAAGTACTATCTCTGGCTGGAATATTGTGAATGCTTAGTATTTTCTTTTTATCTACTAACCTATAAAACTCCTGGCCCTGCTGTGAACACCCTTTGCCTATGAGAAGTTGCATAACAAAAGGCATATAGGTTACATATAATTTTCTCTCTCTCAAGCTATCATTGCAAACAATTTTAAATGTAAAATTTCTATATTTGTCTAACCTATTTGTTATGATGTTCTTCACCATTTAACTCTCTCCTCATAACACCTCTTTCTTGATTTCCTGTATTGTGTGTCTTTTTCTTATACTATTTGTGTATTTTGTAAGGAAGCTTCTGACAACGACAGCAAAAATCCCATAGGAATGTCTGCTTTATGAATGGCTGTGACTACCTAAAGCACTTCACTGTTGTAGAAACAACAGAAGTAATGGCTTTGATTTGGTCAAAGCCAATTAGGACAAGGGCAGGCTACTTCCTATCTTCCCCACACCTGGGGAAATGCAGTTTTCAGAATTCCCCTGGTGATTGTTGAGTTGGAGAAATGTTCAATGTAGATGAGAACATTGCTTTCCCATTTTTAGGACCACTGTGACTATGATGAATGTTTTGTCTAGGACCACCCTTCAAACTGGCCAAATGTTCATAAATCTATAATTGGGAAGCACAGCTATAATATCAAAATCCAAATTCATTTTGGTTGAGCTGAGAAACATAATAATTGAATACTTTTCTTTGAAATGTGTTGATTTTATAGAAGGTGTCTGGAATGAAGCAAGTGACTATATTTTAAAATATGTCTTTTATTAAAAAATTTTTCTCTACAAAAAAAAAACCTCACATTAATTTAATCAGGCAAATCTGAAATTTGTAACAGACATTTTGTGTTTGAAAAGCAGTCATATTGAAGGTCTGTAATGATATATCATTTTGGCCTTGACAAGCTAATTTGAAAAAAAAGATTTTGAAAGAAAAAAGGTGTTTTATTCACTCGGAATTTTGAATAACTTCTTTAAGTATAGTTTGAAATGATTAAGACAACTTGTTACCTACTAAAAGGCTTGGGTCATGTGTATTTTGACTTAAACTGTTTCGCATATTGACATTGATTTTGATCATTTGCTCACTATCAAGGCATCTCTGCGGATATTATGCAGTAAAACCATTAACAACACAGATTTCAATTCAGAATTTTGAAATCCATTTAGTTGTTGTATGTGCATTTGGTTCATTGAGAAGCTCAGTCACGATCAACCTGTCATGGCTTATCTCCTTGGAGAAGCACTAATTTTCTCCAATGCTTTAACCTGTTTGAGTGTCAAGAAATTGGACCCTAAACTCTATTTGAAGTCACAGTTTCAGGTTGTAGTTCCATTTACTCAGGTACAGTTTTAAAAATATTATTTTGAAGTAAATTAGATTTTATAAATACTTATTTCTTCCCCTTTCATTTTTTTCATGTTATCACATATATTAGTTCTGACATTACTATTCATCTAACTCTAATGATTAACTTAAGTAAATGGACTGGCATGGTATGTTTACCAATTAACTCAATCAATTGATAAAATACATTTATACATAAAATATGTAATTAATCATAACTTATGTATTAACATTCAAACAAAATCAGAATAGATTAAATGACTCATCTGATAGCTTAGTTATCAACATATTTAGAAAGTAACAACTTAACATCAATTTTTTAAATAAGTAAGTGAAAATAGAGACCTGTAGTGAGAATTCAGCTGATGAAACATAACAATAACTTGAGCTAAGGATGAACTAGATGAAGAATGAAGAGAATTAATTATATATATATGTATAAAATCACTGCCATTTTCCCTTGCAGAAATTGAAATTAACATAAAAACAATGCCATTTATAACATCGAAAATATGAAATACTTAGGGATAAATTTGACAATTTACATAAGACATATACACTGAAAACTACAAAACATTGAAAGCAACTAAAAAAAGCCAAAGTCAATGGAGAGATGCATTGTTTTCATGGATCAGACATCTTATTATTATGATGTCATTTATCCCTAAATTAATGCATAGATGTAATATAATCATAATTCCAGTTGGCTTTTGTACAAATCGTCCAGCTTAGAATATACATTTCTAAAATTTACTTGGAAATGCAAAGCATTTAGAATAACACACACACACACACACACACACACACACACACACACACGCACACCAGAATAACACTGCAAAAGAAGAACAAAGTAGAAGTACTAACTGTAGGATTCAAGAATTATTATAAAGCTATAATAATCAAGGCAGTGTGGTATTGGTACAAAGTTAGAAATACAGCTCAATGAATCAGGAGTCCACAAATAGATCCGAATAGGTTTGGTCAAGTGATTTTTGACAAATATGCTAAGAAAATTCAAGGAAGAAAATATAATCTTTGTAACATATGGTGCTAGAACAATTGGATAACCCTATGCAAAAGAATGAACTGCCACCCTGATCTCACACCACATAAAAATTTGACTCAAAATGAATCACAGTCTTAATGGCTAAAATTTTTAAAATCCTAAACTAAAACATAGGAAAAAATATTAGTGCCTTTGGGTTTGGCAAAGATTTTATAAGTACTAACAAAAAGCACAAACTGCAAAATCAGTAAGTGGGACCTCATCAAAATCAAGAACTTTTGCTTTTGAAATACAATGTTTAGGAAATTGAAAAGGCAAGTGAGACAATGGGAGAAAATATTTGAAAACACTCATCTGACAAAGGACTTGTATCTAGGATATATAAAGAAATCTCACAACTTAATTATAGGAAGACAAACAATCCAATTAAAAGTGGGCATATGATTCTAACAGATGCTTCATCAAAGAAGAGATATGAATGGTAATTAAACACACAAAGGATGCTCAACATCACAGTCTTTAGGGAAATGCAAATTAAAACTATAATAAGCACCCAATAAAATGGCTAAAATTAATAAGACTGACCATATTAAGTGCTGAGAATTTGGAGTTACTGGAAGTCTCATAGACTGCTCATGTTATGGCCATTTGGAAATGGTATGGCCATTTAGGAAAACAATTTGACAATTACTTAGAAAGTAAAATATATACCTACTATTTGACCTAGCCTTTCTACTTATGGGTATCTATCCAAAAGAAATGAAAACATATGCCTGCCCATGGATATCCATAGGAACTTTATTTGAATTAGCCCCAAACTGGAAACAATCCAATTATCCATCAACAGATAAATAGATAACTGCAATATGCTACATCTATACAATGAAATGCTATCAAGAAATAAAAATGAATGAACTATTGATACATGCAGCAACATGGATTAGTCTCAAAATTATTATGCTGAATAAAAGAAGTCAGGCAAAAAAATACATGCTAAATGATTCCATTTGTTAAAATTTCTGGAAAATGCATATTAATCTATATGAGCAATAAACAGATCTGTGATTGACTATAGATAGGGGAATATGAAGTGGGTGGAATGGATTACAAAGGTTGTGAAGAAAATTTTGGAGGTAAATGGATAAATCATTACCATGAAATGGATTTTTCATGGTAATGATGTCATAGGTGTATACAATAGTCCCCCCTTATCTGTGGTTTTGCTTTCCATGGTTTCAGTTGTGGTTTGAAAATGTTAGAGTATTTTGAGAGAGAAACCACATTTATATAACTTTTACTACAGTATAGTGTTATAATTGCTCTATTTTATTATTCATTATTGTTGATCTCTTATCGTACCTATTTGTATATTAAACTTTATTATATATACATATATGTTCAATATAGGAAAAAACAGTATACCTGTAGGGTTTGGTACCATTCCACAATTTCAAGCATCCACCGAGAGATCTGGGAACATGTTCTTTGCAGGTAACAGGAGACTACTCTTATCAACAGTAAGTTATATAATAAAACTTATCAAACAATACACCTCAAATATATGTAGTTTATTGCATTATCAATTTTAATAAAGCTGAAGAAAAATTACAAAGACCAAAAGGAAAAACATCTTAAAAGGACTGGAAGAATATTTCAACTTTTATGGCAAACATGAGAGCTGGGAGGACGTTTGCATTCATAATTTCATACCTGGGAAGTACTTACAATAGTCTAACTTAGAAAGCATTCAATAAACATAGTTATTATTTTAATTATTAAAAAATCTTCAGCCACTTTTAATCTAGGACACAGACCATCTAAGCAAGACGTCAATTCGGAAATGAGCAACAAAACAAAATAGCTTCCAGTCTGTTAGCCTGTGTTAGAGGTATCCAGCTTTTGGGGGACATGAGTATTTGCAAGGATGAACTCTTGACAAGGAAGTGGCACAAGGGATATTGATGGCGTGGTGGCAGTTTTCTTCTCAGACCACTTTTCTGGCATGATTTCACTTTAGACCACTAGCCTCTGGTCCATTTGTTCAGCCTTCCCAAAAATTCTGTAAGTTATTTAACATACTTTAATATATCCATTTCTTGCTTAACATAATGGGAGTGGATTCTGTCAATTGCAATCAAATGACTTGACCAATATAATCCCTAAGGGGAAAAATACAAAAAGTAACATATTTTAAAGAAAAATTTACATTTGTTTTCTGTTTTTAGTTTTTTTGGAGGGGGTATGGAGAGATTCTTAACTTACTTAGCTAAACAATTGATCAGCAGCCTAAAATGCATTTATATATTCTGCATCTTCCCACTCTTTGCCCCCAGTTTTTCATTATTGCTTCACATGAAAATCTTTATTGGGATTAAAATGGAGGCCTATGGATAGAACACTCACTGGATTTTCTGTGAAAAGATTTTGGAATTTTGGGTTCTTACAGTGTAGTGATTTGGGAATAGTGAGAAGGTGGTAGAGATATATGAATAGAAGTACAAATAATATTAATGATGACATAAATATAATAAATGAACATAAATGATGACAAACTGACACATTTTCATTGCTGTTTCAGATCATGTTTGATGTGATAGGTCTGTTAAACAGCAAGTATTAATTTTTATGCAAATGAGTTTTCTTCTGATTGGACATTTTTCCTTAAAGAGGTAACATGATTTTCAGATCAAATTGTCATTTTAAGGATGATGCCTCTGGGGAACAGTTATGCTTAGTGAAAAGTAGAGCTGTGTGTACTGACACAGAAAAGCATCTCTGACAAGTTGTTAAAAGAAAGAAGCAAGATAAAGAGTAATGTGGATGGTATAATCCCATTTGTGTGTTTATATGTATATGTAATGTGACTATATTATTTATTTATTAGATATGTTGAATAAGAGAGCCTTTGGATTTTGGTGCACCAGGCACAGTGGAAGACAGGAGTAAGGGCCCCACTAGAAACAGAGAGGTTGAATGAAAGTTCTTACAGTGGAAAATAAGTAGCTCCTCTCAGCCTCCTTCTGCTACTAAGCTCCATTAATGCTAGCTGACAGAAGATTAGAGACCAGCTCCTAGGAAAGACCTATGGATACTGACATCTGGGGAGTTTCCTAAAGAAAAGTCTGGATTTCTGCTTAATTGCCGATAAGAAAAGTATATTGGTGAACATGGGCTTCCAGTCAGCTTTTTATTATCTCACTCTTAAATGTCTGCAGACAGACAGATTGCCAGACATTTAAGGAAAGCCTCCAACAGAGACCAAAATAACAGAACTAACTAGCTAACTCACTAAAGAATTCAGAAGAAAAAAGAATCAAGGATTAAGACAATGTAAACAACAAAATAAAACACTTTGTAATATCTTTTGATGGAACCAGAAGAGGATACTTTAAAAAAATCAGAAAAGAAGTAAGAAATCTTAGAAACTAAAAAAAATAAACAAAAACAAAAAACAAACAACAACAAAAAAAGTATGGCTTCGTGTGGTGGCTCATGCCTGTAATCCCAGCACTTTGGGAGGCTGAGGTGGGTGGATCACTTGAGGTCAGGCGTTCAAGATAAGCCAGGCCAACATGGCGAAACCCCGTCTCTACTAAAAATTCAGAAAACTAGTTGGGCATTTTTGCAGGCGCCTGTAATCCCATCTACTCAGGAGGCTGAGGCAAGAGAATCGCTTGAATCTGGGAGGCAGAGGTTGCAGTGAGCCAAGATAGTGCCACTGCACTCCAGCCTGAGTGACAGAGCAAGACTACATCTCAAAAAAAAAAAAAAAAAAAAAAAAAAAGAAAAGAAACCAAAACAAATGTGATAGAAATATTTTTCAAATTAATTAAAGGCTAAGAAGACAAAATTTAAGAAATCCCCAAGAAAATAGAATGAGACAAAAAAAGATAAAGTAGGAGATAAATTAAAAAAACCCTGGAGGTTCAATCCAAGAGGTCAGCATCTAAGTTTGAAAAAAAAGAACATAGAAAATAATAAGGCAGAAATTACAAAAGAAAAAGACAGTTTTTTTTTCAAATTGAACATCATCAGTCTAAAGATTGGAAATTGTCTTTAAGTATCCAGCAAAATGAAAGAAAAAAAGACTCACATGATAGAACATCATCCTGAAATTTCAGAACACTGGGAATAAAGAATTAAACACTAAATGCTTCCAGGAAGAACAAAACCAGATCATATCAAAGGGTTGAGTGAGAATGACATCTGAGGTTTGAACAGCAACACTGGAAGTCTGCCTTCCAGTGGACTGGAATACTGTGGAAACGTGAATTCAAAGGTCTGAGGAATTACTATTTCAACCTAGAATTATTCACCCAGCAGCCATACTATCATTGTAGTGTCAAAGAGGAATAAATAATTTTTTTGGTATACAAATTTTCAAAAAGCTTACATTCAATGCACTCTTTCCTAAGAAGCTATTTGTGACTGTGCTTAGTAAAGGAGAGAAATGAACCAGAGAGAAATATAGGTGATACAACAAATAAAGAATCCAATGTCGGAGAGAGATAAGAAGTCCCTTAGATGATAGTTAGGAACAAATTTCAGTATGAATGCTGACAGCCACTAGTACAGATCAGAGCAGGAGGATGGAAAGTTCCAGCAAGTCTGTCTTCAGTTAAATGAAATGAATTTGATCACTTGATTATGTGGAGATTTTGATAAAAGGGATTTTATGTTTCTTTTAAAGAGTTTGGAAAGGTTTAGAGAAAAGAACATAGAAAATCAAGCAAACAAAGAAACAAACAAATGAACAACAATAAAAAGATGTGAACATTAACTCCAGGACAAACAAACTGCAACTTTATTAGAAAAGAAATGTAATTAGGCCAGGCGCGGTGGCTCACACCTGTAATCCCAGCACTTTGGGAGGCCAAGGCAGGTGGATCACAAGGTCAGGAGTTTGAGACCAGCCTGGCCAACATGGTGAAACCTCATCTCTACTAAAAATACAAAAATTAGCCGGCCATGGTGGCGCGTGCCTGTAGTCCCATCTACTCAGGAGGCTGAGGCAGGAGAGTTGCTTGAACCCGGGAGGTGGAGGTTGCAGTGAGCCTAGATTGTGCCACTGCACTTCAGCCTGGGTGACAGAGGGATACTCCGTCTCAAACAAACAAACAACTGTAATTATGATTTTCTACAATATAGCTGATCATGACTGAAGAGATAACACAAATCTGCCAGAACGTTTGATTTGCATCAGTCCCAAGGTTAATACTGCCAGAGATTCCCACACATGAAACCTCCTGTTCTCTCTCAGTAGCTGGTAGTCAAGTGCCTTGATTAACTAGACGCTATTGTGAGTCAGATGACATTTGAAAGTCTCAATTCAGTATTTTAGGGGTATCAATGTATAATGTACGTAAACACGTGTCATATGCAAGACACTTGTTGCATGAAAGTTGAGGATGGTCTATAATAATAATGCTAACACTTATTGAGCTCTTACTGAATGCCAAATGCTTTCCTTGGTTTACATCCACTGACCCTTATCTGTTACCAGCTCCTTTTTACAGATGATAACGTTGAGATATAAAGAGGCTAGGTAACTTTCCCAGAGTGATGGGGCTTGGATTAGACTGGAGGCAGTGTAGTTCCAGAACTTGTGGTCCTGACTGCTACTCTTCTGCCTCAATACATAATTAGATAAATGCTTTAGGGGATTGAAAACTTAGACTATCAACGAGGATAGAAGCCTCTTGTGGTGGAAGTAGTGATAGAAGGAAGTGGACTAAAGCCAGGCAGCAGGAGTCAGAAGGGACAGGAGGCTGACCTGTTAGTCCACTCACAAGAAATGAGAATTGATCGGATTTTGTTAACAGTTCATTTAACTTAGAGACACTGATAAACTCTTTTACTCTACTGAAGAAGTCAAGAACACTGGCATAAAAATGGACCTTTCTCCTGAGACTTTCTCACTTCATCTCTTTCATGTCTTTTTGATACCATTGCTTTCAGTTCTCATTTCCCTTCATCACCCATCAGGCTTCATATTATGAGCAGAGAAACCTAGGCCTGGCTTCTCTTGTTCGAACGTTCCTTCACTTAATATTTGCCCCTGGGAGTCTTGGCAACTAGGCTCGGTAATGGCAACCTGGAAGGAAAGAAGACCTGGTTCCCCCTTCCACCCCCAGCCTCATTAAATATGATGCAGTTCCTACCAAGAGGCTTGGGGGTGGAGGCTGTGTGGGCAGAAGACACAGCTTCCAAATGTTCTTGTAAATATTCATAAAAACATGTTAGTGTTGCTAAACCCACAGCAAACGATAATCATCCTTCCCCCTACACCCTGCATCTTTTTGCTGTTAATCCTTTTGTCTGCCTTGAATTCCTTCCCACAATTGCTTCTCCCCCATCCTGTGTTTTTGAATGGCTGCCAGATACCCTACCCCTGGCCTTTGCAGCCCTTCATGTGGGTCTACGGTACCCTTTTCAAAGCAATGGCCCTCTGCTGCCAGCTAGGGACACGAATGACACACACCATCCCAGGGATGTTGCTTCTGATCATCTTGGTTCCTTGCTCTTGGGGAACACAACAATTATTCTGCCCAGGAACTCATGGGGATTTCTGAGCAACCTGGCACATCTGAAACATTTTTCTGACTCATTGAGCTGGCATATACTGCTAGATCAGCACTGGCCCTGTTCCACACAGCCTGTCACCAACAGTGGGTGTTGTTGTAAGCACTAGTTTTGATTGTGGCAAGATGGGCTCTGTGACTCTCCTCTTGTTCTGTTGAGTTCAGAAAAGGCATCTGGTCTCCATTCACATTACATTTGACAAGAGTCCAAAACCTAAATGAATGTTGCTAATAAAGAACTGTAAGGAAAAAACATGTTGAGAACTACCGAGTGTATTCAACACACATCAAGCTTTGGAGCAGGGGGAGGGGAAGGGAATGAATGTGCTGGGTTAGGATCGCCCGTTGGAGGGCAAGAGCTCCAGGCTCTGCCTGGCTCTGCCCATGAACTGTGCCTCAGTTTGCCTTCTTTACATTGAGGATGTTCAAAAAGTGCTTTATAATTCAGAGGAGACTGCGTGCGACCTTGCAAATGTTTAACTTTGCTGTTGCTCGATGAAATTTCAAATGAGCCAGTATTGATTGAACAACCACTCTGTGTCTAAGTCAAAGGTGGCCAAGGAGAGAATTTAGCCCCTGCATAATCTTCACTGGCTCACTGCCTCCAAATTCTTTGACATGGATAATTGGCATGTGCTCCACCTTTTGTATAGTACATGCAAATACAGTCTAAGCCCATCTCCCTTTTACCTTTAAGCCCATCTCCCTTTTACCTTTCTCAGGCATATCTCTTGCATTATAGACTCCATCATGGTGTCTGCTTCCCAGAGGAACTAACCAGCACAACAGGAGAGTTTGCTTTCTAAATGGAATTAGTTGGAGGAGGCTAAAAAATGTTAAGATGTGAAGCTAAATTAAGCTAAATGTCGATGAAGCCCCTATTGAACAATGATTATTTTCTGAGGCATCCTCTAAATACGAGCTGTCTGCAAAATGTACTTACAATGAGGCAACCGAATGAGGAAACTTTTAAAAGAATATCTTAAATTTTAGAATCACTACATTATTACAGCTAAAATTCTTCTTTCAGGTCATGTTTAGCTAACACAAAATGGCCAAATCTAGATCATCTTAGGTTATTCTGATAAAATCTTATTTTTATGTATGAAATATTGTCTGTCTTTGTGTTATCAAATATAGAAGGCATATGCCTTGCTCATTAAAAAGTTGTGTCACACAAATAAGAAGGAAATATTCCCCTTGGATTTTTAAAAGTGCTTTGTCCAGAGAAAATTCCTACTGTCTTAATTTTTTGCAGAAATATCATGATGCAGGGAGTCTGTATGTTAAGAGTGTTTAACTTTAGCCTATGACCTTAAGACCTTAACCAGTCTGGAGTAATGAAGACTGGGAAAGTAAATAAAAATACATGTAATGAATATAAAGTGAGTAAATATACAAATAATCAAATCTGGTTCTTGGTAAATTATTTTGTGGTAGATAATCATATCTAAAGTATGTCTCTTCATCAGGTAAAACACTGGATCAAGAATTCAGAGCTGTAATTTGTCAAGCAAACATCTGGCATAAAGTGTTGATGGAATATATAATAAAACAATACCTTATTATTTGGGAAAAGTAGAAGCCTGCCTTTTTGGAACATGGAAAGATCTATGCTCGAGTCTAGCCATATCCATGACCACATCTGAACAAGCAAGGATTGGAACACAACATTCAGAACAGTCCTCAAATACCTCTGGGTATAAAAAGTCTTAGAGAAGTTGGAAAAGTACACAGGCTGACTTATGGGGGAGAACAGTGATGGGAGCAATTGCACATGTGTTAAGTTCCAGGGGTTGGCGTACGGAAGGAGTGTACACAGGCCAGAGCAGGAGTTCAAGGACACAAAGCTTGTGTAACCCTTGGGGCTACTAGTCAGGAAGGGCAGATAAGAGGAAAAATAGAGACAAGTCAAGGATGATGGCAATTGAATGAATTTCAAATTTGGATTACAGCAGATCACTAATTTATTCAGCCTTTAAACTGATTTTTATGGAGTACTTATTTGTACCTGAACTCGTGCTAAGAGTTGCAGATATAAAGATGAAATAATGTGTTTCCTGCCTTTTAGTGCTGGAACAGAAAGCCAAATATTACATAATATAAGACAATAATCATATTATTAAGAAGGCACTAAAAATTGCATGGGTCCTTCTGGGGAGTCTCCCTCAACCCTAAATTCCCTTCCAGCTACCAAATCGCTTTCCATCACAGCTGAATTTCTATATTTGCTACCCCCGTTCCTTTATCTCTCATTCATTCCTCAACTCACTTCATGCTGGCTTTGGCCGACACCACTCCACCAAAATTGTGTTCAAGTGTCTGCAAAATTCCAAGATAATCTTCAGTCCTTATTTCCTTGACCTTTTGGCAGGATTTGATACTCTTAATTATTCTTTTGTTTTCAGAAATATTCTCTTTCTTTGACATTCCAGGGCAGCATATTCTCTCCCACCTTACTTTCCATTCCTCTGGAGACCTTTCTTCCTCTACCCACACCTTAAATATTTGGGGTCCCCAGAGTTCTTTTTAAATTGTTTCTACCAAAGTTATTTCCTCACAATATTTATCACACTTTGTTATTTCTTTTTTTCTTTTCTTTTCTTTTCCTTTTTTTTTTTTTGAGACAGAGTCTCGCTCTGTCGCCCAGGCTGGAGTGCAGTGGCGCGATCTCGGCTCACTGCAACCTCTGCCTCCTGGGTTCTCATCATCCTCCTGCCTCAGCCTCCCGAGTAGCTGGGACTACAGGCGCCCACCACCATGCCCGGCTAATTTTTTTTTTTTTTAATATATTTAGTATTGTCGGGGTTTCACTGTGTTAGCCAGGATGGTCTCCATCTTCTGATCTCATGATCCGCCCGCCTCCGCCTTCCAAAGTGCTCCCGGCATTACAGGCGTGAGCCACCGCGCCCGGCCACATTTTGTTATTTCATTTACTTTCTTGCCACTGCAAATTTTGTGAGACCAGGACTATATCATCACTGTCTTTCCAGTGCCTAGCACTGTGTAACATGAAGTTTGTGCTTAATAAATATTTACTGAGTGAATGAATAGTTGAATGATCTGAGAGCCTTAAAAGATGAGTAGGAATGGCACAAAAGAAAAGGTAGAGAGTTTTGACTGGGAGGCATTTGAGCAGATGAGCAATATACTGAGACTTGAAGGTCAAATCACTCTAGCAACAGTGTGAGGGATACATTGGAAGAGGGGAGTTCAGAGCAATTGATATTACAATAGTCTTAGTGAAAACGGTGATGGCTATAGAAATGAAGCAAAAGGCAATGGTTCAGGGGATAATTAGGAGGTCGAGCCAATAAACTTTAAAGATGGATTGGTAACTCGGGTAAGGGAGAGAAAGAAATCTTGGATGCCATGGATTCCTTCACTAGCATAGAAAGCACAGGAGAAAAAGCAATTTGGGAGAAAAGTTTAGTTTGGGACCCAATGAGTTTTAGATTCTTAAGTGTTCCATTAGGAGCACAGAAGTTAAATTACATTATAGAAGTTCAGGGACCATGTCAGTTTAATCACATAGTTCATTCTACATGTTGGTGCTTGGTAAATTCTTTTGATGGTATTGATGCAGTATCACATTGCCAATCCTGCACTGCTGTTCTGTTTAGGGGAACCCCTCTATACAAAGCCTGTGTGTTTATTTACTCACACCAATGAGGTTTTATGACTAGGTTGACCTTTACATGAACATTATCTATTTTTGCAGATGCTGTTTCAAAATTGATTAGTTCTCTGACTCGCACACTGAAATCATCCAACCTATTGAAAAAGCAGAATGGGATGTGGATTATAGGGTTTCAGATAACACCAAGTCCCTAGTGAAAGGTATGTTATTTCATTGCTTTGTTCTGCTTTTGGAAAAGTGTAGCTGTGTTTTCTTTTCTCCAACTGTATAGGTCACAGCAATTTTTTTTTCCACTGGGAATTACAAGCTATACAGATGATTTCCAGAGTAGAGTCACAGTCTCACATAAACGCTAAACACAATTAATCAGGGTCTGGAAGGTACATGGAGGGTAATTAGTAGGTTATATGTGGGTCAGTTTTAAGGTCATTTATGAATACTACAAGAAAAACAGATCTTTTGACTTTCTGTGATGAAAAAAGGAAATATATTTAGTGTATTATAATACATGCACTGAAATGGATTAAAAGCATTTTTGATAATTTCATGTCTGTGTATATAAGATTGCTTAAAGAGCAAAACAATACATTGTACTGTATTCATAATGAGAGCATCAACCTCAGTAACCAGCTATTGCAAAAATTTGTCCAATATGCCATAAGTAGTGTCAGAGTTGACAAAAGGGGATTCTGACTCTTAGCTTACTATGCTTGCTTTATACTTCTAAGGAGATAGTCATTTGGTAATCTTAAGCCTTCACAGTAGAACTATAACAAATAAATTCATTATAATAGGACATATTTATAGTGGATCTTACTTCCCATGGCTTGTGTGGGCTTTTGGAGGTTCCCTTGACCAATAGGAGCACCAAATGAGAGGAAATAATATTGACTCCAAGTGTGAAAGTGGAGTAGATATTTAGGAATCATTGAATACAGAGGAGGTTAACAAATTGATGAATTACGGAGTGGATTAAAAACAAAGGCTGTAAAACCCCTTTCTTCACATACTCCTACAGGCTGATCTCACCTACATCCCCATTGTTTCAACCACCCTTCTGGAGAGAACAGATTTCTCCACACTTTCTCCAGCTAAAACCTCATCTCTTGAACTCGGGAGCCACAAATCCAACTGCCTATATCTACATCTAAATCAATTCCTGTCTAAATCTATAATTTGTCAATATCTTTATCTAAATCTCAATGTGTTCAAAGTTAAGCTCATTATTTTCTCCCTAAAACTTCTCCCTGTTCCTGCTCAAATTTCTGATAAACCAAATATGTCTCAGGTATCCTCCTCCTTTTCTCTCTCTCCCTCATTCCTGATAACTAAACAATCACTTCTTAGAATGATTTTGGCTTAGAAATATCTATGGATTCCCTCTTATTCCCTTCCAATGTCACTGTCTTAATTCAGGCCTTGATGATTCTTTTCACCGAATGACTCCAATAATCTCTTAATAAGTCTGTCAGCTTTTAGTCTTTTCTTAGCTTCTCTCATATATTCATTCCTTGACTCTCTACCAGAGTGTTTCATTTTTTATTTATTATTTATTACTTTTATTTCTTATTATACTTTAAGTTCTAGGATACACGTGCACAACGTGCAGGTTTGTTACATATGTATACCTGTGCCATGTTGGTTTGCTGCACCCATTAACTCGTCATTTACATTAGGTATATCTCCTAATGCTATCCCTCCCCCGCCCCCCACCCCACGACAGGCCCCGGTGTGTGATGTTTAAAATACAAATCTGTCCACAGAACTCCCCTCCTTAAAATCCTGCATACTTCCACTCCTCACATAAAATAGAGGTCATCTAGCACGAACTCTCTTACCTTCCTGTCAACTCTCAAGGTGTGTACAATGTATTTGCAGTATTCCATCTATGCCTTTTCTCAACTTCCTTATTCTGGCCAAAGCCAACCTCTGAGCCTGTGATCTGTGTCCCTTTGCTCTCTGCCTCCTCAGAGCTCTCCGGACATAATTTCCAGCCACTCTTTTCATCATCCACTTCTCTACTGCCTCATTCCCCTTAACAGGTAGACACACCCAAGATTCCCTGATTGTAAACAACAAAAATCATTCCTCAGATGCAACAAGACCCAAACAGAACTCCGCATTTCCCCACACCATCTGTGGTTAACTGCTTTTGCCCTTCAAAACTTAGCTCAAGTTGCAACCCCAAACCCCCACTTTGTACTCTGCCATCTTGCATATTTATCTGTCAAACACTTCATGTATCATGGTTGACTGTTTTCTTGCCTGTCTTTTCTATTAAACTGTGAGCTTCTTGAATGTAGGAACTGGCATTCTATCATTATTACCAGCAGTTAATTAATTAAATAGTAAGTGTAAATGTCAAACCATAAGCTCTGGTCTGAACACTCTTCTTATTTTTCAAAAATTTCGATTTTAAGTTCTCAAATTTAATCAATTCAGATTTCCTACACTGCTGTCCCCAGCCCCCACTTCCCTAAGGATCGTGTAGGTTCCAGGCAGGTTATGAAGTACTGATGTGAATGAGGGTGGGGGATGGGATATGTTTGGTCCCTAATTGTCCAATCTGGCGTACCTGAGCCTCCTCACTCCTGCATGGTCTCCATTTATGGGTCATTCAAGTGGCTACACCTTCCTGATCCAGATCACAAGCTATGCTGGCCTGTTCTCTCTTGACTCCTTCTGTCTCCTCTCTGTGCACATGTAATTGGAATTTCTCTTATTTCCTCTTCTTCCTGAGATTAGGACAGGAGTTTAGCAAGGAGCAGGCCTTCTTCTTAGGAAATACTAATGTCTTAGGTTTCTTAGTTTCTTCTCTCTCTCTCTTTCTTTGCCCCAAGGAATTAGCTTTTAGGTCAAATTGGCTTGACCTTAGCTTCCAAATCTGTTGGCATAAATATTATGCTCAGAGTCTTTCAGGGATTAGGGTTTTGAAACCTCAAACCCTACTTTATTAATTCTGAGGCTTTCTTCTGCAAGAAACAGATTGCCTAACTAAAATGTAGCCTCCATAATAAAAAGATTTAATGATATTATATGAGAGGAGGTGGGGACAGGGGACAATTCTTGGGTTGGTTTATAGCACAGCAATGTCAATTATGATTCAGGCTTTTTCCTTCTCTCCACTCCTCCATCCTTGGTATATTGATTTGGTTTGCAAACTATTTTCTCATGGAGTCAAGATGGCTGCCTGTCTCTTTCTCTAGTCTCATTAGGGAGGGGCATATAATATATCATATTACACTTTAAGAAGAAGAAATAAAATAGTATAAGATCAAATTGTAGATGATATGGTAGTATGTAAAGTACTTCCAACCACAATAAACAGGGAGATTAAATGATCAGGGCAACTTCAATATAACAAATGACATTGGCATAAACAATGTATCTACATTTGTCCAACATTTGGAGACATGTATGAAGGATTTTATTTAGCTGGCATATATAAAACTTCTCTACAAAATGCACATATTAGTAGTAGTAGTCAATAAAATCACCAAAGAAAAATTAAAAAAAAAAGAGAAAGAACTTGTCCAAGATGTAATCCCAAAACCAAATGCATTGGAAACTCATACTCCTATGTGAAGATTCAAATGTCATGCTTTGGCATAAACGATACTACACAGGTTTTCTGATGAAGTTTTATCTGCACCTTCATCAGCTTACTCTGCTTACGATAAGCTTGTTCCTGCTTTTGCTTACTTATAAACCATTTTATTTCCATTTTTAAAGTAGTCCTCTTAGACTCATCTTTACCTCTCTGAGATCAACCTATAGGCTGCCAAGCCAGGTCCTGTAGCAGCCAAGATTCAAGGCATCTGGTCTCTTTTCATAATCACATTAAATCCCTGGATAGCTATATATTTTACTCCAGAAGGAGGAAATTGTTTATATCTGGCTCTCGTCCTTCCTTAGTTTGCATTAGAACCAGAAAATTATGCATTCTTGAGTTGAACCAACTCACAAAATAACAAATGAGTAATGATACTTGGCTCTTGTTTTTCTTTTTTAATTTTAAAGGACATAATGTGTGTTATCTTAGAGAATGTCAGTTTGCTGATTCAAATTTGGCCATGTGGTTGAATCCAGCCGCCCTTTATAACTCTACCTTCTATATATTTTGGATTTCTTTCACATTCCAAATAACATCAGTGAATGCATTTTCAAGGCCAAAATTGGGAGGATTCCTGCCTGGATTCTTGTTGAGAACTATTGTAACCTCAGAACTATCTTCTGCAGGCCATGACCTTTTTTTCCTCTCCATCATATTCCAGAACCTTAAAATCTGGGGCATGTAGGATCCCTTACACACTACCTGCCAAGGAGATTGTCTAGCTGAGAATTAACCCAAATGCATGTATTTTTATAAAGTTTCAAAAATGAGCTCCTAATGTTATCCTTTGTCAATCATCTACTTATTATTTATTAGATTTCTATAGCACCTTTTCTGCAAAGAGCTCAATGTATCTTAAACACATGCTACAATGCACTTTAAGTAGGTGTTACCGAATTTGGCATTATATGTGAGAAATACTGCTAAAATTATGAATTCCAACTGCAAATTATCGAAGGAATAAAAGGAAATTTCAGCATCATTTAAAAATGATATATATATACATATATATATATATATTAAACAGGTCTGTTAGCCCTGTCAGAACCTCTCTCCAAAAGAATTGCAGGGTTATATTTGAAACAGTGAACACTACCTATAAATATAGGCACTTAACTGGTATTTGAAATGTTATGCAGCTTTCCTGTTTGCAAAGGTTCTGATGTTTCCTTTGATTTCTAGAAATACAACAACAGCCATTTCCATCAAAATGTCAAGTGACAGGCCCAATAGTCCTTGGATGTTTATTAGGTTGGACTTATAGGGGCTCCCCATTCTTTCACAGGTAATATGCTGTTTATTTTCTTTCTTTTTGCCATCAGTGTTGACTGAGCACAAGGGAGCTATCATCAATGAACTGTCCCCTCAACAGCAGAGGGAGGAGAGCATGAGGGTAATGGAGGAAATTACTATGCCCTCCCTTCTTGGAAGAGAAAAATAAACACTTTATAATCTTTAAGTCAGAGGTAATTCAAAAAGTCCGAGGCAGGCAATGCTGTCCAATTTAGAGATATTTTCTCGTTCTTTGCCATAAAATACCACTCCCTCCCCAAACTACAACAATAATAAAAGAAACCCCACAAAGAACCAACTCTGACCTCCCCATCCTAGATATCCCAAATTGTGGGCTTCAGTTGCATTCTGCCCTTTTCTTTTCTTCCTTCTTCTTTTTACTTGGGTAGATTGCTTTCAGGTGGGGCAGTCTTCATTCCACATGAGCTTTGAAATCATATCCCTGGATCTGTATAGAACGGCAGTAGTTCAAGGTATTAGTAGCAGCCTTCCATGGTAATACTGTCATTAGATCATTATGACTATTCTAAGGTTCTGCCTGTGAGCATGGCATGAATTTTATATTTGGAAATAAAATCCTCCCGGGATACCACAAAGCTGCACGCTGGCCTTGCCCCTTCTCGCTGCCCGTTAGGATTGGCTGCCCTGCCTTGGTCTTGTGTTACTCAGGAATAAGTCCTGCCGTGTTTGTTTCACATAAGAACCCCTTCAATTTGTTTATAATGATCTGAATGATATTATTAGGTGAACAAAGCTGCTCAATGGTGACATTTATTAACCAGTCATATCATCTGTGTTTAAATCTCATATTACATTTCAGGGAAATTGTGTGAACCTAACTCCAGCATAACTTTTCTTTGGGGACCATTGCTTTGTATTGAGTTTAAAATAAAATAGAACATAGAAAGCAGATTTTATTTCCAGGAGAGCATTTCACTTAAGAGGTTTAGACTGAGCCAGATTATGTATAGAGGCCCACAGGAAGGTGGATGTTGGAACTCTTCAAACTAGCACTTGCTCTATGTCTCTGTCTGCATGAGTTAGGAAGCATGTCCCTTTTAAAAGAGATATGGGAATTGGAATGATCGGTGCCATGGGTGTAGAGCAGAGGTGTCAGAGAATGAATGGAAGAAAACCATGTGTATGAAAATGAATTTTGTGTGTGGTCTGGGAGAATGATGGATATGCTATGACCACCTCCATGGGGATGAGTGTGCACATGCGGGACAATGCTCATTGGGAAGAAGGCAGGCAGACTGCAGTGATGGTGGCTAGGTATGCAGGTGAAATAGAACATGGTTAAATTAGAATGTGATCAAAGAATGGCAGCCTGTTTATGTAAAAACAAGGAAGGTTGGCATATATGTATGATTTTCAGTGATAATAGAATGATATACTTACAATTTTTATTATGGCAAATTTTAACTATTGCACAAGAGTAGAGATAATAGTCTAATAAACTCTCATATACCCATCATTCATCTTCAACAATTAACTCATGGCCAATCTTGTTTAATCTTTACTACTCCTCTCCCCCATTCCCGAAGTATTATTTTGAAGCAAACCCAAGACACCATACGTTTGCACCCATAACTACTTTTGTATGAGTCTATAAAATATGAAGAATCCTTAAAAAATCATCACCATCCAATAAAAATAATCATTAGTATTAATTGAAATTAATACTAATTCCTTAATATCATCAAATAGCTAGTTAGCCTCCAAATATCTCTGATTATCTCATTTTTTAAATGGTTGGTTTGTTCAAATCCAAATTTCAGTAAGGTCCTCATATTACCTTTGGTTGTTATGTCTCTTATAAATCTTTTAATCCATAAGTTCTCCCTCATTTCTTTTTGTTTCTTGCAATTTATTTGTTGACGAAAATTGAGTCATTTTCTCTACAGAGTTTCACATTTTGGATTTTGTTGATTGCATTCTTTTAAAATTTCCTGTGAAATAGTAGTTAGATTTAGAAGCTTGATCTCATTCAGGTTTGATTACCTGACAAGAACACTTCACTGGTGATATGGTGTACTTACATCAAGAAGCATACATGTCTAGTTGTTTCTATTTTGGGGGGTTTTAGTAGCCACTGATGCTTATTGCCTCAATCCATTATTGCATTAAGCATTTGTGACATGGGGCTCTCTTCATGTCTATAGAGAGAAACTTTTCCTCAATAATGATTAGATCTTCCTGGGATACAGTTCATACAAGAAAGCAGGTTATGTGCTTGATTGTTTCTCTTTATTTAGATGTTCTCATAATATTCTCTAAGATGAATGAGATTTGTTTCCCCTCATACCATTACGAATGTGTGAATGTTTATATTTGATTAATTTTAAGCCATGGAAATTATTATTATGTTGTTGATGCTCAAGTTGTCCCATTTTGGGGAACCTTTTCAAGTTGGCTTCTAAGATCTTTGACACAGCAGCTTTTGAGAACTTTCCTGATTTTTGGTATAACCACATGTTCCACGCTGAACTTGTACATTTCCTATCCAAACCTAGAATCAATTGTTTCTTCAAGAAGCCCTGGTTCCTTTTAGTGGAAAATGGGAATTAAGGGTATTCAACACTTCTAGTTGGCAGAAATGGTATATATGTTTTTGGATTAGGATTTGTCAACATTTTTGAAGTACATTGTGTTTGTTCAAATCACATCTGCTCAATGATATTCACAATTGTATCAGGATACATCATTTTGCAAAGAACAGAACATCTGACCCATGCTGATATGAAAACATAAGAAAATTTCCTCTTCCTCTTCTTCTTCTTCTTCATTTTTTTTTTGTAACTGAAAAGTCCAAAGATAAGATTGGCTTCAAGTGAGGTTTCCAATTTCTTTCTGCCTCTGCTATATTTTTCTTATTGTTGGCTCCATCCTAAGACTAGTTCTCCTCATGGTCCTGCGATAACTGCCATCAGCCTCCAGGGCTACACATTTCCACATTTACAGCCAACAGCAAAGGGCATCTTTGTCTCTTCCTTTCCAGAAACAATCCTGAGATTCACTCTGAATGCAAGCCTTTACTCAAGTCACGTGCTCAAGGCAGAGCCAATCACTGATTAGCTGGATGGAATGTGCCGATTGGTTTAACATAGGTTGCATATTTGACTCTTGGAGTTGGAGATGATAAGTGCTTCCCTTGAACCACCTGCATCTTCGAATGTAAGTTGGAACTGTTGAAAAGTGGGGATAGGAAGGCAGGAAATGGATTCTGGGGAGGGGCCAACAAATATCCACTATTACAATATAGAATTTGTTTCCTTCATCTATCCATCTATCAATTCAGCTATTCATGGTAACCTATTCATGATAACGTAGGCACTATTTTAAGCCTTAGAGAGGCAAAGAGAAGTAAAACATAACCTCTGGCATCAGGAAATTTGTAGACCAATAGAGTTAGACATATCCTTATAATAGCCAGAAAAGAAAACTATACAAGGTGCAGTGGGATCCAAGGGAGGAACTAATCATTTCAACTTGGGAAGAGGTCTTTCCAATGCAAAGGTTTTATGATCTGTCATTATTTTATTATTGGTTTGTTATATTCCTTAGAGTCTACATTGGCAGACTCAAACATCAAAATATTGTAAAAATAATATTCCTTCTCAATAGTGGATTCAATCAGAAAATTATTTCACATCTCTAGCTAGGATAAAAGTACCAGAAGTATAAGAATTCATCTCTGGGGTTCTTTTCTCATTTGTCCAGAGAGAGAGAAAATATTAATGCTCTCTTGTAGACGCAAGAAACCTCTGTTGTTAATGCAAAGTTGTTGATCTTTCTAAGTTGGTCCAGATACCATTAGAATGTTACATATTTGTAATTTAAAAGAAAACAAGGTGTCGAATCTTCATTGTTCCTTTGGGTTGACCATTAGTTTAGGTGCTGTGTTTCGGATTATAATACCAAACTTCTCTACCACATGAATTACAACACAGCAGAATTTGGTAAGTTGATACCTCTTAAGTACCATCTAGGTAAGTCTCCTCTTAAAGAGCAAAAAGAGTCTCTTGTAGAGAAGTCCCACGGCAAAATCTCTGGTTATGAAGGTTACAGTGATAAAAAGATAATCAATTAGGCAATAAAATTTAAAATGGCCTGATCAGCTGGGAGCCATGGCTCACACCTGTAACCCAACACTTTGGGAGGCTGAGGTGGCAGGATCATTTGAGTCCAGGAGCTTGAGACCAGCCTGGGTAACATGACAAAACCCTATCTCTACCAAATATACAAAAAAATAGCCAGGTGTGATGGCATGCATCTGTGGTCCCAGCTACTCAGGAGGCTGAGGTGGGAAGGTTGCTTTAGCCTGGGAGGTGGAGGTTGCTGTGAGCTGAGATTGCATCATTGCACTCCAGCCTGGGTGACAGAGCGAGACCTTGTCTCAAAAAATAATAATAAAATAAAATTAAGTAAAATAGGCTGATTCATGTTAGTATAGATGGAATGGCAAGAAGACTACTGACTAATTTAAAATGAAACATGCTTCCAATCTAATTTACTAAATACTATTATGAAAAGCTGAAATGATGGTTACCTTTTCTATTTTGCCAGCTGGTGTGAGAATCTAATAGCAAGTTACAATCACAACTTACTCTACATAATAACAACTTTATCTTTTAAATCCACGAAGTGTCACCTAATTTTTTTTAATCATTAAAGTGACCCACGCATTGTTTTCTCAGCCTGTTTTTCATCATTGAAATGGTTGGGACTTGTTAATTGACCATACTCTGCATGAGTCTCCCATTCACTTTTATGATCTGTTAACAATATCTTGGAGACCCACCAGATTGTATTGCAGAAGGCTTTATTTTAGTCAAGTTTGCTGACCAAAACTTGAAAGGGTTGTGTGTGGGGAGGTGGACGCAAACAAGCCAACAACCTCAAACCTAAACCCAACCATCTGTGCTATTTGATGGGGCGTTCCTGACTCTGAGCATTAGTCCTGGCTGAGAGTTACCACTGAGTACAATTGTTTATGCTGTGCCACAGGGGAGAGCAGACAATACCACACAATCAAAGCCTTCACACTCAAACAGACATCACACTCCCTAATTATATTTGTCTGACAGATTATTATAATTGTACATGGCAGGTAGTGTAAAGCAGCTCCTTTTTACAGCCTAAATAATGTGGCATATTCTGCATACTAGAAATCAACCTTGCAGAAGGTAAATTATGAAAGCTAAATGCACGTTGAGTGTTTTTATTTACTCTTTCAGTTAGCATCTTATGTGGTGCTAGACAGCAAAAGAGCATTACCTTATTTTGCCTGGTACTATTCCATTTAACACTTTGTTGTGCAAAGTTTCTTTCTAGCTGACAGCATTTTTTATTTTGGCATACTCAGGACAACTCCAGCAATGATTGTATATAAGGCTGTTCCCCAAACCTGAACTGACCAGTTCAGACCGTGCTAAGTCAGCATGAGGATAAAATGCATTTCTTACCAAAAAAAAACCCCACTAAATTATGAACCCAATTCTATGCTTCATTTCTTCAACAATGAGAATAAACCAACTTGGGAAATAGTCCTTCAGTTGTTTGCATAATCTAAGACTGTTTCTGATAGCTTTATGGGCTAAGGGACCTGTCTGTGGGAAAATCATCTAGTTCTCACCATGTCTGATTGCTTTTTCCTTCCAAGCACATGGGAGGACTGCATTTCTCTACCACTTTACAGTTGGATGGGAGCATGTTGACTAGTTTTTGCAGTTGGTTGTGGGTGGAAGTGACATATGTCATTTCCAATACTAATATGTGCTTACCAATATGAGGCCCTCTAGCACCCCCCTCTGCTGGTGACTGAGGCTACTGCACGTTCCAGAAGGAGCGGCTATTACAATATAGTGCCTCTGTCAGCTCCAGTCCCTGAGTAACTAAAGCCGAGCCCCTGATGGCTGGCTTCAGATACGTACAGTTAATAAGAAACAAACCTTTGTTGTGTGAAGCCACTGAGAAGTGGGCTTTTAGTTTGTGACTTCAGCATAATTTAGCCTATCCTGACTGATACAAGAGTCTTCAATATGTGATTTGTCCATGGTAGCCATATTTTACATTAGAGTTGTGAATATTATATCTAGTTGCCATAGTTTCTACAGTATGATTCTTTTGTCCCAAAAATATACATGATAAAATAATAAAAGTTACCTTACATTGAGTACTTGATAAATGTTTGCAGACTGAAGTGCAGTGGCGTGGTCACTACAGCCTTGAAGCTCCCTACAGCCTTGAAGTCCTGCACTCAAGTGATTCTCTTGCCTCAGCCTCCTGAATAGCTAGGACTGCAGGCACATGCCACCATGCCCTGCTAATTTTTTTTTTTTTTTTTTTTTGTAGAGATGGGGTCTCACTATGTTGCTCAGGCTAGCCTAGAACTGTTGGCTTAAAGCAATCTCCCTGTCTCAGCCTCCCAAAGTGCTGGGATTACAAGCATGAGCCACTGCACCCAGCTCTAGGCATTGTATGCTGGTTATGTACTTTTTGGCTAATACTCATAAAAATTTACAAAATGAGATAATGCAAGTTAAAGCAGATAAGTAAGTGATCTCCCAAGTCCACACAGAAGCACTGTTCAAAACCAGTCTTGTCTAGCTCCAAAATCTATACTTGTTCCATTTCACTACACTGGCTTTATTTATTAACTGAAACAGTGAAGTGGATTAGAAGTAAAAATATAAAAAGTAAATATAAAATGTAAAGGTTTCTGCATTTCCCAACATTTTATAGCATTCTATTTATTTATTCCTTCATTCAGGTATTCATTCAATTATATGTCTACCTCCAGTCAGGATGACTGGATTTGAATCCCATCCCTGTCTCTGCTAACTCTGAGATTTTTAAGCGTAGTACTTAATCTGTTTCCTCATTTGTAAAAGAAGATACTAACATTACTTATCTCATGGGGTTGTTGTAAGTATTAAATATATAAATATATTTAGAGCAGTAGCTGACATGCAACAAGGTTTAGGATGGGGCTGGGACTGGAGTGAAGCAAGGGAGGCACCCAGAGTGCAAAACCGAAGGAGGCACTTTCACAACCCTGAGAGTGAGTGTCTCCTTACATTCTCTTCCCCAGGTGCTTCTTCTGTCTTACTCAAGTCCTGATCCTGGCTGAGCTGTTAATATTCATTCATTTGTGTATACTTAATTGTGAAAAAGCATGAGGAGAGTTTTGGTATGCACACAAAAATATGGATGATTAGAGTTCCTACCCTCGGAGCTTTTGTGAGGATCACATGAGATAATTCACTTAAAGAGCTTAGCATGGTGTGTGACACATGGTAGATAAGAATTGTAGCTTAAAAAAAAGAGAGGGCGATGGACTAGGTAACCTGCAATGTCACCTCTCAGCTCTAAAAATCTATTCCCAGTTAGACTTGACCAGTTAAAAAATATTGTAATTACTGATCGCTGCCTTGAAGAAAGGTGGCACCAACATTTAGCAGTATGACTCTGTGGGGGTGGGATCATTATAGAATACAGAGAAAACATGTTCTCAGTCTTCAGGGGCTCACAATCAGGCTGAAAAAAGGCAGGTGAATAAGTAAGACATATTCTCATACATATGTAACAACACTATCTATATCCAAATACACTTTCCATGGGGAATGGCATGCTGTTGAGATGGAACTCTTTGGAAAGCTGCTTTTCCTTCCAACCAGTCGGGGAAGATTTTTGAGGCCAGCTTTCAGTGTTCTTTGAAGTACTTAGGAGGAGAAGGCCATTGTTTAGTCTGATAGGAGTTTTGGAGGGTGTTTGGAGGCTGGGAGATGGAATGGGGGGAGCCTTCGGTTTAGAGCTGAACCAGTGAAGAACTGAGAAATAAGGGCAGATGTAGTATAAGTGAAATGATGGGATAAAAGGACATAGGTTAGCATGAGGAGACACAAGGGAAGTATTGGATGAATTTTGATGGACAGGGCCTAAAATGTCATGAGGGAAGGGATGGGAAGGTTATTAACATAACTGTTCATTTGCTCATCTCAATTATCAAGATGAGCGTCTTGCATAACTGGTATCTAAGGGTCACAGAAGGACAGAACTGCTGAAAACCTTGGGTATTTGGCCCTGACTGGTACAATTATTTGTGTCCAGAGAGACTCGTTAGATTTTCTTGTTATCAATCAATCAGGCAACAAGCTGAAAAAGGTTCACATACCATTCAAAAGTAGAGTGACATCTTTATATAACATAAATTAAGTACTGGTTCTGTACTTAATATCTGAGGAAAATATAGGAAAAACATAAACCTTTCCTTGTGGCTTTGGCTTTGAAGTCAAGACATACCCAATGTAGATTCTGAAATATTTCTGTCTCAGCATGTGGCACATTGCAAGTCATACAATAGGTGCTCAATAAATATTTCTTGAGTGAATCAATAGATAAATGAAAATTGTCTTTGGATTAGGTGGAAGTAATTGTGCAGTGCGTCTTAAGTGTGTATACTTTCTCGTGTTGTATTTATTCTAAGGGTGTTGTTGCAGAAGAAAATAGAGGTATATATGAAATGCCCTTATGGAATTATAGAATAAAAATGTTAATTGATGTAGATGCAATTATTTTGAGGAGCTTTTTTTTGAGCGGTGTGTGTGTAATACATCCTTAAAATTAAATAGAAGTCGATGGGACAGTCTGAGTCACTAAATTCGCAAGAGTCAGAGGCTTTAGGAAAGCTGCAAAATGTCTCGTGAGGCGTGGGGGATGGTCAGACTTTGGTATTCAAAAAGAACTCGCTGTAAGTTCATTACCATCTTAGGTTGTGGAGGCACATAAATATCCAACCATAGGCAGCATAGTGTTCCTTAATGGAATATTATATAGCTATTAAAGTATTACTGCAGTTGGAGAATATTTAATCACATGAAAAGACATTAACAAGACATTAAGTGGAAAAGGCAATTTAAAAATCAGTATGTGTCAGATGAACCTATTAAAATATGCATGGAAGAAGCCTAGAATAATAAGATCTGAAATCAGTAGCAAGGATTATTTCTGAGAAATAGAACCATAGATTTCTTCATGCTTGTTTATATTTTCCAATTTTTTTTACAATGAACCCATATCTTTAAAAATGCTATTAAATTATTTCTCAAAATAGAGACCCAAAAGGACCTACTGAGATTGGATACACTACTGTCTCTCTGTTTCCATGTTGAATTCAATGTCAGCCTCCAGTTTCCTCTGAACTTGAATTTACCTATGCCAATGATTCTCCCCCTTGCTCATGCATGGATGCTATGACTACTGCTGTTTGAATATCACCCACTTAGCCATAGATTTTACTTCATAATCCAGATTTATGAACTAGACACCACATCTGCTTTCTTATATCTGAAAATATTTTTGGTGCCATGAATATTCATGAATATAGCTTATTGTTGTCTCACTCTGCCCCATGGCCTTCAATAGGACAAGGGCAGTTTCCAAAATGATAAGTCCACATGGTCTGTGAGAATAGTGTCCTTATTGATAGATGGGATAAAAGACTGGAAGGTAGGAGAGAAGACTATTGTAGAGGTTCATTTCTACTGACCAGTGCCTATAGAAAGGTCAAACTAGGCTACTTATCATTTTAAAGAAAATGATTTGATTTGTTTTCTTAATACAATGTAAGTACCACTGTCAACATATATAGTGTTTTAACATTATGAGCTTATTAAAATAGTAAATCTGTGGAGAACATTCAAATTTTTGCATGATTATGCTTGAACCTAATGTACAAGTGAAAATAGGCAATGGTAATAACATCATCCAACACTGGAGACAATTTCTCAGCCTACAGGTACAAAACACCATAACTGATTGCCCAAGTGTTGTACCAGCTCCTTTTTATCTGTCTGCTTGCTGTTTTTCATTCAAATTATAACACCTTTTCCTGCAAGATAAATTAACAGTTTTTTTTTTCCTAGTTTTAAGTTTAGTTCATTCGAAAAGCTTAACATAAAGTAGAGTCATTAGGCTTTGGTAACAGGCCAAATTTAGGCAAAGCAGATACAAAAATACTCCACATAAAATAAAAATTCAAATGTGGGATGCATGCGTGGAGCTGCCTGATTGCTGTATTTATGAGGGCCTGCAGGTTTGTTTTAATTTCTTCCTGCATTCATGAATCCCTGTTTTTACTTTTATTTTTTACAGTTTTTTCTCTTATTGTGGGGGTTTGTATTTGGCTTTCACTTCCCCTTCGTGGTCCTTTTTTAATGAGGAAATTAAGTTTTTAAGTCACCCATTAGAATTTTCTTTTTGAAAAGTTAAAAGTGTCCTCTGCTCTTGAACAGCCACTGATTGATCTAAGGCAGAAGTTGCATCTTAACTTTGAAGAGGTATAGGTGAGCATCTTGGTTTGGAGGTAAAAAATGGAGAACATGATGGAATAAAGTTGGTAAATGATCATAAAATAGAGCCCAAAGCTTTTCATTTCAAGGCACAAAGCCCCACACAGCCATGCCTTTCAAACAGACATTGCCTTCAGAACATATCTAGGTTGGGGAGGCAAGGGTGGCAAATGTTATCCCAGGTGGAGGACGTCTTAGTACCTTTCCTGACATCATGGTTGGATATGCTGTTACTTCCCCAACGTTATAAGAGTTCCATCTGCGATTCAACACCTATTATTAAATATCTACTATGGGCAATCACTGAGGATATGTAGAAAAAAGCAAGATACAAGGTTCTATTTTCAATGTGTTTCTAATCCACACACGTTAATACCATAATGCTATGCATGACTTTACAGGTTTGTCCATCTTATCTGCACAATAATCCTAAAGTGCAGGTAAAGCAGATACAATGTTTTTTAATTTATAGATGATAAAATTGGATCTCAGAGAGGATAAGTTGTTTAGGATGGCACAGCTAGTAAATGTCATAATTAGGACCCAACATCAAGTCACCTGATTTTGAGTCTAGCTAGCTTACTTGTTCTCACCTGAGTAGGGGTGGTTTTGGACTGTGTTTAAGTGCTCATTGCTGGTGCCTTCAGGGTTTAGACAGCTATCACCCCCTCTATATGTATTAGACTGTGGGAGAAAGTGAGGTGAAGTGAGTGACAGGGCAGTTTTATAAATATAAATATTTAAGTGCATGTATGTGCATTTTCTCAGGTTTTAAAATCATTCCTGCCATCCGCGGCTGACCCTACCAATTCGGAAGCACTGAGGTGCACGTTTCCATGAGAAATAACAACCTAAGGCAGGGCACAATTGGTGTCATGTGGGTAATAGAAAATCAGAATGCTGTGAATTCGGGACCAGAAATGTCATTTCTGACTCAGGAGGTCAGGAAACTCTTTCAGAACAGGTTAGGCCTTAATGATGGCTAAGAGGAAGGTGTGATTCAAGGAGTTCCTGAGACTAAACACTGAGAGGGGCTCAACTGTGTTTTTTTTCTGAGTGTCACCAGTGGCTAGCTGTTTGACCTCAGGCAAGTCTTACAGTCTCTCTGAGCTTCAGTTTTCCCATCTATAAAATGGGGATAAAATGCCCACTGTGCTGGGATGCTGTGGGGATTAAATGAGAAAACACATGTATGTGTCTAGTGCCTGTACAATTGCAGCACTCAACAAAGAGGAATTCCCCTCCCCTTCTCATGGGGCCATGAGAAGTTCTAAAAAAAAAAAGGAACTTTCCCTGATTCTATGGAAACTACCTTTCCCACCTCAGCAGAAATGCCTTTATTCCCTCATCTATGGAGTTCTCTCTGTCCTTCATGGCTTCTTTTTTTTTTTTTTTATTATACTTTAAGTTTTAGGGTACATGTGCACGTTGTGCAGGTTAGTTACATATGTATACATGTGCCACGCTGGTGCGCTGCACCCACTAACTCGTCATCTAGCATTAGGTATATCTCCCAATGCTATCCCTCCCCCCTCCCCCCACCCCACCACAGTCCCCAGAGTGTGATATTCCCCTTCCTGTGTCCAGGTGATCTCATTGTTCAATTCCCACCTATGAGTGAGAATATGCGGTGTTTGGTTTTTTGTTCTTGCGATAGTTTACTGAGAATGATGATTTCCAATTTCATCCATGTCCCTACAAAGGACATGAACTCATCATTTTTTATGGCTGCATAGTATTCCATGGTGTATATGTGCCACATTTTCTTAATCCAGTTTATCATTGTTGGACATTTGGGTTGGTTCCAAGTCTTTGCTATTGAGAATAATGCCGCAATAAACATACGTGTGCATGTGTCTTTATAGCAGCATGATTTATAGTCATTTGGGTATATACCCAGTAATGGGATGGCTGGGTCAAATGGTATTTCTAGTTCTAGATCCCTGAGGAATCGCCACACTGACTTCCACAATGGTTGAACTAGTTTACAGTCCCACCAACAATGTAAAAGTGTTCCTATTTCTCCACATCCTCTCCAGCACCTGTTGTTTCCTGACTTTTTAATGATTGCCATTCTAACTGGTGTGAGATGGTATCTCATTGTGGTTTTGATTTGCATTTCTCTGATGGCCAGTGATGATGAGCATTTTTTCATGTGTTTTTTGGCTGCATAAATGTCTTCTTTTGAAAAGTGTCTGTTCATGTCCTTCGCCCACTTTTTGATGGGGTTGTTTGTTTTTTTCTTGTAAATTTGTTTGAGTTCATTGTAGATTCTGGATATTAGCCCTTTGTCAGATGAGTAGGTTGCGAAAATTTTCTCCCATTTTGTGGGTTGCCTGTTCACTCTGATGGTAGTTTCTTTTGCTGTGCAGAAGCTCTTGAGTTTAATTAGATCCCATTTGTCAATTTTGTCTTTTGTTGCCATTGCTTTTGGTGTTTTGGACATGAAGTCCTTGCCCATGCCTATGTCCTGAATGGTAATGCCTAGGTTTTCTTCTAGGGTTTTTATGGTTTTAGGTCTAACGTTTAAATCTTTAATCCATCTTGAATTGATTTTTGTATAAGGTGTAAGGAAGGGATCCAGTTTCAGCTTTCTACATACGGCTAGCCAGTTTTCCCAGCACCATTTATTAAATAGGGAATCCTTTCCCCATTTCTTGTTTTTCTCAGGTTTGTCAAAGATCAGACAGTTGTAGGTATGCGGCGTTATTTCTGAGGGCTCTGTTCTGTTCCATTGATCTATATCTCTGTTTTGGTACCAGTACCATGCTGTTTTGGTTACTGTAGCCTTGTAGTAAAGTTTGAAGTCAGGTAGTGTGATGCCTCCAGCTTTGTTCTTTTGGCTTAGGATTGACTTGGCGATGCGGGCTCTTTTTTGGTTCTATATGAACTTTAAAGTAGTTTTTTCCAATTCTGTGAAGAAAGTCATTGGTAGCTTGATGGGGATGGCATTGAATCTGTAAATTACCTTGGGCAGTATGGCCATTTTCACAATATTGATTCTTCCGACCCATGAGCATGGAATGTTCTTCCATTTGTTTGTATCCTCTTTTATTTCCTTGAGCAGTGGTTTGTAGTTCTCCTTGAAGAGGTCCTTCACATCCCTTGTAAGTTGGATTCCTAGGTATTTTATTCTCTTTGAAGCAATTGTGAATGGGAGTTCACTCATGATTTGGCTCTCTGTTTGTCTGTTGTTGGTGTATAAGAATGCTTGTGATTTTTGTACATTGATTTTGTATCCTGAGACTTTGCTGAAGTTGCTTGTCAGCTTAAGGAGATTTTGGGCTGAAACAATGGGGTTTTCTAGATATACAATCATGTCATCTGCAAACAGGGACAATTTGACTTCCTCTTTTCCTAATTGAATACCCTTTATTTCCTTCTCCTGCCTGATTGCCCTGGCCAGAACTTCCAACACTATGTTGAATAGGAGTGGTGAGAGAGGGCATCCCTGTCTTGTGCCAGTTTTCAAAGGGAATGCTTCCAGTTTTTGCCCATTCAGTATGATATTGGCTGTGGGTTTGTCATATATAGCTCTTATTATTTTGAAATACGTCCCATCAATACCTAATTTATTGAGAGTTTTTAGCATGAAGGGTTGTTGAATTTTGTCAAAGGCTTTTTCTGCATCTATTGAGATAATCATGTGGTTTTTGTCTTTGGTTCTGTTTATATGCTGGATTACATTTATTGATTTGCGTATATTGAACCAGCCTTGCATCCCAGGGATGAAGCCCACTTGATCATGGTGGATAAGCTTTTTGATGTGCTGCTGGATTCGGTTTGCCAGTATTTTATTGAGGATTTTTGCATCAATGTTCATCAAGGATATTGGTCTAAAATTCTCTTTTTTTGTTGTGTCTCTGCCCGGCTTTGGTATCAGAATGATGCTGGCCTCATAAAATGAGTTAGGGAGGATTCCCTCTTTTTCTATTGATTGGAATAGTTTCAGAAGGAATGGTACCAGTTCCTCCTTGTACCTCTGGTAGAATTCGGCTGTGAATCCATCTGGTCCTGGACTCTTTTTGGTTGGTAAGCTATTGCTTATTGCCACAATTTCAGCTCCTGTTATTGGTCTATTAGGAGATTCAACTTCTTCCTGGTTTAGTCTTGGGAGAGTATATGTGTCGAGGAATTTATCCATTTCTTCTAGATTTTCTAGTTTATTTGCGTAGAGGTGTTTGTAGTATTCTCTGATGGTAGTTTGTATTTCTGTGGGATCGGTGGTGATATCCCCTTTATCATTTTTTATTGTGTCTATTTGATTCTTCTCTCTTTTTTTCTTTATTAGTCTTGCTAGTGGTCTATCAATTTTGTTGATCCTTTCAAAAAACCAGCTCCTGGATTCATTGATTTTTTGAAGGGTTTTTTGTGTCTCTATTTCCTTCAGTTCTGCTCTAATTTTAGTTATTTCTTGCCTTCTGCTAGCTTTTGAATGTGTTTGCTCTTGCTTTTCTAGTTCTTTTAATTGTGATGTTAGGGTGTCAATTTTGGATCTTTCCTGCTTTCTCTTGTGGGCATTTAGTGCTATAAATTTCCCTCTACACACTGCTTTGAATGCGTCCCAGAGATTCTGGTATGTTGTGTCTTTGTTCTTGTTGGTTTCAAAGAACATCTTTATTTCTGCCTTCATTTCATTATGTACCCAGTAGTCATTCAGGAGCAGGTTGTTCAGTTTCCATGTAGTTGAGCGGCTTTGAGTGAGATTCTTAATCCTGAGTTCTAGTTTGATTGCACTGTGGTCTGAGAGATAGTTTGTTATAATTTCTGTTCTTTTACATTTGCTGAGGAGAGCTTTACTTCCCAGTATGTGGTCAATTTTGGAATAGGTGTGGTGTGGTGCTGAAAAAAATGTATATTCTGTTGATTTGGGGTGGAGAGTTCTGTAGATGTCTATTAGGTCTGCTTGGTGCAGAGCTGAGTTCAATTCCTGGGTATCCTTGTTGACTTTCTGTCTCGTTGATCTGTCTAATGTTGACAGTGGGGTGTTAAAGTCTCCCATTATTATTGTGTGGGAGTCTAAGTCTCTTTGTAGGTCACTCAGGACTTGCTTTATGAATCTGGGTGCTCCTGTATTGGGTGCATATATATTTAGGATAGTTAGCTCTTCTTGTTGAATTGATCCCTTTACCATTATGTAATGGCCTTCTTTGTCTCTTTTGATCTTTGTTGGTTTAAAGTCTGTTTTATCAGAGACTAGGATTGCAACCCCTGCCTTTTTTTGTTTTCCATTTGCTTGGTAGATCTTCCTCCATCCTTTTATTTTGAGCCTATGTGTGTCTCTGCACGTGAGATGGGTTTCCTGAATACAGCACACTGATGGGTCTTGACTCTTTATCCAATTTGCCAGTCTGTGTCTTTTAATTGGAGCATTTAGTCCATTTACATTTAAAGTTAATATTGTTATGTGTGAATTTGATCCTGTCATTATGATGTTAGCTGGTGATTTTGCTCGTTAGTTGATGCAGTTTCTTCCTAGTCTCGATGGTCTTTACATTTTGGCATGATTTTGCAGCGGCTGGTACTGGTTGTTCCTTTCCATGTTTAGCGCTTCCTTCAGGAGCTCTTTTAGGGCAGGTCTGGTGGTGACAAAATCTCTCAGCATTTGCTTGTCTGTAAAGTACTTTATTTCTCCTTCACTTATGAAGCTTAGCTTGGCTGGATATGAAATTCTGGGTTGAAAATTCTTTTCTTTAAGAATGTTGAATATTGGCCCCCACTCTCTTCTGGCTTGTAGGGTTTCTGCCGAGAGATCCGCTGTTAGTCTGATGGGCTTCCCTTTGAGGGTAACCCGACCTTTCTCTCTGGCTGCCCTTAACATTTTTTCCTTCATTTCAACTTTGGTGAATCTGACAATTATGTGTCTTGGAGTTGCTCTTCTCGAGGAGTATCTTTGTGGCGTTCTCTGTATTTCCTGAATCTGAACGTTGGCCTGCCTTGCTAGATTGGGGAAGTTCTCCTGGATAATATCCTGCAGAGTGTTTTCCCACTTGGTTCCATTCTCCCCATCACTTTCAGGTACACCAATCAGACGTAGATTTGGTCTTTTCACATAGTCCCATATTTCTTGGAGGCTTTGCTCATTTCTTTTTATTCTTTTTTCTCTAAACTTCCCTTCTCGCTTCATTTCATTCATTTCATCTTCCATTGCTGACACCCTTTCTTCCAGTTGATCGCATCGGCTCCTGAGGCTTCTGCATTCTTCACGTAGTTCTCGAGCCTTGGTTTTCAGCTCCATCAGCTCCTTTAAGCACTTCTCTGTATTGGTTATTCTAGTTATACATTCTTCTAAATTTTTTTCAAAGTTTTCAACTTCTTTGCCTTTGGCTTGAATGTCCTCCCATAGCTCAGAGTAATTTGATCGTCTGAAGCCTTCTTCTCTCAGCTCGTCAAAGTCATTCTCCATCCAGCTTTGTTCTGTTGCTGGTGAGGAGCTGCGTTCCTTTGGAGGAGGAGAGGTGCTCTGATTTTTAGAGCTTCCAGTTTTTCTGTTCTGTTTTTTCCCCATCTTTGTGGTTTTATCTACTTTTGGTCTTTGATGATGGTGATGTACAGATGGGTTTTTGGTGTGGATGTCCTTTCTGTTTGTTAGCTTTCCTTCTAACAGACAGGACCCTCAGCTGCAGGTCTGTTGGAATACCCTGCCGTGTGAGGTGTCAGTGTGCCCCTGCTGGGGGGTGCCTCCCAGTTAGGCTGCTCAGGGGTCAGGGGTCAGGGACCCACTTGAGGAGGCAGTCTGCCGGTTCTCAGATCTCCAGCTGCGTGCTGGGAGAACCACTGCTCCCTTCAAAGCTATCAGACAGGGACATTTAAGTCTGCAGAGGTTACTGCTGTCTTTTTGTTTGTCTGTGCCCTGCCCCCAGAGGTGGAGCCTACAGAGGCAGGCAGGCCTCCTTGAGCTGTGGTGGGCTCCACCCAGTTCGAGCTTCCTGGCTGCTTTGTTTACCTAAGCAAGCCTGGGCAATGGCGGGCGCCCCTCCCCCAGCCTCGCTGCCGCCTTGCAGTTTGATCACAGACTGCTGTGCTAGCAATCAGCGAGATTCCGTGGGCGTAGGACCCTCTGAGCCAGGTGTGGGATATAGTCTCGTGGTGCGCCGTTTTTTAAGCCGGTCTGAAAAGCGCAATGTTCGGGTGGGAGTGACCCGATTTTCCAGGTGCGTCCGTCACCCCTTTCTTTGACTCGGAAAGGGAACTCCCTGACCCCTTGCGCTTCCCAGGTGAGGCAATGCCTCGCCCTGCTTTGGCTCGCTCACCGTGCGCGCACCCACTGGCCTGCGCCCACTGTCTGGCGCTCCCTAGTGAGATGAACCCGGTACCTCAGATGGAAATGCAGAAATCACCGTCTTCTGCGTCGGTCACGCTGGGAGCTGTAGACCGGAGCTGTTCCTATTCGGCCATCTTGGCTCCTCCCCCTCAAGGCTTCTTTTAGAAGCTACATTCTCTAAAAATTCTCAGTGCTTCTCTCCCTGGGATGTCATTTTGTCCTTTCAGAATTCCTGCAGGATTTCCCACTTTTCTCTCTCCGGCTGTAAGTCCACTTTGTTCCGGGTTGCATTCTGTCCTATCTGCTTCCTATTTGCAAGCTTGCCTTTACATCCCTGCAATCCCTGGCACAAGTCCTTGTTTTTATTAGCTTCTGAACAAATTCTGGGGTCTTGATGTTCTCTTTGAGTCTGACATGAAAGCCCCCTAAGTTAGTTTTCTTGAGTTAGGGACTTGCTCCAATCACTTGGGATTTTTTTTCTAATCTGTAACAGTTACACTAATCGGATTTAAAACTGACTGAACACTTTTATTATAGCCTGCCAGAGGTATGCATTAAAATTTAACACTGTTTCCTCTTTGAACAGAAAGAAAGTACTTATGGTGTGATTATATAGGATTAGAATTTTTCATTAAAATGGATTTTAAACACTTCAGCAAGTAAAAGGCAGAATCCTATTTAATGAGTTTTTAAAGGTAGTGAAAGTAAGCAAAGTTGCACAGAACCGTTTCTCCTCCCCTCGCATAAAGCTGCTCTTTCACTGCGATGTACCGTGCACATATCACGGCCTTATGACTTGTCAAGGGGTGCTATTTGCACAGAGCAACAGAAGACAAAGCCTGTTATAAAACGAAGGAAAGATTATACAGAAATCTAAGAGCAGATCAGAATGCTTCACAGCCTTGAGGATGGAGAATATCTGAATTATAACTAATGTGATTTTATAAACTTGACACTTTGAACTGAGGAGGGTGCTTTATGATTTGTGATCATCTTAAGAGGCTTAAAGCCAGGCGTTGCTATAGAAAGCTAAAGGTCCAAGGATTTGAAGGCAGTTACTGAGGCCTAGAGTCATCGTTCAGTGTGGCTCATAGTGGTGGATGGGTGCCTGGAGCCTTCCCTGTGAGGCCTGGTTCTTTTGGAGGTTGGCAGTTGTAGTGCCATTTAATACTGCCCCAGTGGCCACGTGCAGATGCAGAAGTTGCAGATTGCAAAGCCCAGGCCTCTGAAAACAGGAAATCCAGCCAAAATATTTAACCAAGTAATTTTATCACTGCCTTTGAAGGGCTATGGTATGCATTTTAGGTGGGTTCAGGAGCACATGTATATCAAATAAAGGACTTGGGTTGAAATGAATCTGCCTCAGATCTGTTACCTAGCAAGATCTAAAGAGTCAATTTTCTAAGCATTTCTGAAACAGGAGTTGTTGAAATCGGAGCAAGGCTCTCAGCGGCAACAGTTTAAGTTTTCTCTGATGTGAACTTTGATAGGAACAGAGTGGCTATTGGAAATGTTTTGTGTACATTCTCATTTATGGCTAATTAGAAATATTTTTGTGATTGGATTTGGGGAAATGTGTCATGGGTGTCGGCACACTGCAGTGCACAGTTAATAAGAATTGGCACTAAAGTCACATGTATCATACTTGGAAGCAAACTTTGATGAAGAAACCGTTTCAGAATTGTTGTGTATACATTCACATTTATAACTAATTAGAAGTATTTTTTAATCTGGTATCCAGGAAATGTGACATGAATGTCAGCAAAATGTACTATATGATCAGTTACATTTCAATTAAGAAAAATAAAATCACTAACATGAACTTGCATGCCTCATGAAGAACTGGGGTGACCAGAAAGCTGGGAAGTGAATTCTTCAGGCCAGGTAGGACACCTTGGGGGATGGGGGAGTTTGTCAGACCTACCCTATCTCACCAGCATCCAAGTGGAATCTTTGAAGCGTTTTATTCTTTTCTTTTTCTACTTCCTCCAACTCTTCCTCCTCCTCTCTTCCCCCTGCACCCTTTCTGTTTGCCTTCTTCCCCCTCTTCCTCCAACTCTGTCTACCCCCCTTTCTTCCTTCTCTCTTCTTTTTTTCTTCCTCTTCTTTCTTTCTGGAAATAGAAGCTGCCTTACCTGCCAGAGTAGAATAGCTATGTACAGATGCTCATACAGGCCATGACTACAGTGAGGCATATCTTCTCTCCCTGACAAACTAAAGGTTGTAGCATTTAAGCCCTTCAGTTTTCCCCTTTTAACAATCAATTAAAAAGAAATTATAACAGCTAGCCTTTGTGTAGCATTTACTATGGGCCAGGCACCATTCTAAAAACTTTACCTATATTTTTCACTTAATTTTCTTTCCTTCTGTTTTTTCCAGGCTGGAGTGCAATGGCACGATCTCTGCTTACTGCAATCTCTGCCTCCCGGGTTCAAGTCATTCTCCTGTCTCAGCCTCCTGAGTAGCTGGGATTACAGGGGTGCACCACCACGCCTGGCTAATTTTTGTATTTTTAGTAGAGATGGGGTTTCACCATGTTGCTCAGGTTGGTCTCGAACTCCTGACCTAGTGATTTGCCTGCCTCAGCCTCCCAAAGTGCTGGGACTACAGGCATGAGCCACCACACCCAGCCACTTAATTTTCTTAATAGCCCAGTGAAGTTGGTACTACATTATTATTATCTCCATACACATGGGGAAACAGAAGCCCAAAGAAATGAAATAACTCACCCAATGCCACACAGTCATAAGTGACAGAGCCAGAATTTAAATGTGGCCATCTGGCCTCAGGGTCCATGGTCTTAACCACTATGCTAAACTGTTTCTTCAGTTTTTGTCTATATATTTGTTGCTTTAATATTTTTTGGATTTTATAATTAATCTATACTTATTATAAATTTAAAACAAGAAAAGAGTGAAGAAAGTAAATGCCTACCTGAAGCACCACATTCCAGATATAATTACCATTAGCATGTTGACAACTATTGTTCATTCATCATAGGCCTGGATTCATGTATGTGTGATTTTACATGAATGGAGTCATATCATCATGCCATACATGTGGCACTTTTAAGGCCCTCTTTGGCTTTGTTTTCCTAACCTCCTTCCCTTCATTTCCACACCCCCTACCTCATTTAGCAAATGAGTAATGTACCCTTTTATAGTTCACATATATGAAATTAAAAATAGCTATGCTTAGATACAGATAGAAGGTTGAGTTTTTTTTTTTTTTTTTTTCCTGCATCTTGCTTTTCTTACTCAACAGTATGTCATGGAAATTTCCCAAATCAACTGGATTGATTTCTCTTACTCTTCATTTTTTTCTTTTTTAGACAGAGTCTTACGCTGTCACCTGGGCTGGAGTGCGGTGGCACGATCTCAGCTCACTGCAACCTCTGCCTCCCAGCTTCAAGCGATTCTCCTGCTTCAGCCTCCCGAGTAGCTGGGATTACAGGTGGCCGCCACTACGCCCAGCTACTTTTTGGTATTTTTTAGTAGAGATGGGGTTTCACCATGTTGGCTAGGCTTGTCTCAAACTCCTGACCTCGTGATTCGGCTGCCTCGACCTCCCAAAGTGCTGGGATTACAGGTGTGAGCCACCGCGCCCAGCCCTCTCACTCTTCTTAATGGTTGCTGATATGGTTTGGCTGTGTCCCCAGCCAAATCTCATCTTGAGTTGTAGCTCCCATAATTCCTATGTCCTGTGGGAGGGACCCAGTGGGAGACAACTGAATCATGGGGGTAGTTTTCCCCATACTGTTCTCGTGGTAGTGAATAAGACTCAGGAGGTCTCATGGTTTTATAAGGGGCCTCCCCTTTCACTTGGCTCTCATTCTCTCTTGCCTGCCACCATGTAAGATGTGCCTTTTACCTGCCACCATGATTGTGAGGCCTCCCCAGCCACGTGGAACCGTGAGTCCATTAAAGCTGTTTTTCTTTATAAATTACCCAGTCTCAGATATGTCTTTATCAACAGTGTGAAAAGGGACTAATACAGTCGCATATTTCAGTGTATGGTCAATTTTATATATTCCTCCAATAATAAAATCCTGCCAACTTAATATTTCCCTGTAGGTAGTGTTTTAGCTTGGTTTCCTACTACAGCAGAGCCAGAGATGAGGACTTGCCTGTGTGCAATCACATAGGGTAGGTATTTTTCATAGGAGGAAAGTAAGGCTCAGAGATGTGCTGAAGTCACTTGTGCCAAATCACACCTTCGATACATGGCAAGTCTGGCAATCAAACCCCAAACCTCCAAAGCCTCAGCATCTTCTGTCAAATCAATGGGCTCAAGTCTCCGTTATTTCTTTTTCTTGGGTTGTTTTTAAATCATTTCATTTCCATGAAAATATATTATGGGTTGACAAACTGTGAATATTCAAAGACTTTGCATTATGTTTCCAAAATATACTGCCTTTTCTCAGTCATTTAAACGAGAGTGTACATGAAAGCACGTCATTAAATAGAAGAATGAAATTATTTTTGAAAACTGTTAACTAAAGAGCCTACCTTTATGTCTTTCACCATAACTGTTAAGCCTTACAACAAATAATGTGTTTCCTTATCCACTTGGGAGCAGGGCTTTCTATGTGTTTCTTCTGAAGTGAAGAGAGTTACCTTCTGGCTGTTGAAAATAATGTGGTAGCTGAGGAAATTAATGGGAAAAATAAAGCATGGGCTCAGTGTGTTTGGCTTAGGCTTGGGTTCCAACTGGCCCATGAATTATGAGACGCGAATGTGCTAAAGGATGAATCTTTCATTAACAATGTGTAATCACTTGGGAAGACTTGCTCCCCAGGACAGTACACAAGTGATTGTCTCGCAGAAATGGTCTCAAGTCACAAATTAAGAGTTATTTGGAGAAGGCACCACGCTCTTCTCTATGCTTGAATGCATCAAGTTGGGCTAGGTAGAGCAGCATTCCACCTGTGAATGCCAACTGCAAGTCCAGGGGCCTTCAAAGCTGAAGTGATCTATGCCAGGCACCTATGCACCTCTATCTCTCTTCTAGTGCTATGTTGCCCACTACCACAAAACAGCTACCATTTTATTACATCTCACAGTTCCGTGGGTCAGGAATTCAGGCAATTCTGCTCCCTGTGCTTTAACTGGCATAACTTGGTGGCATTTGGCTGGTGTCTGGTCTGGCCTGGAGGGTTCAGGACAGCTTTACTCACATGTGTGATGCCTTGGCAGGCTCAGCTGGGCCTTTGTCCCTTGCCATGTAATCTCAGGGCCTTGTCTATGGTTTCTCCATCAGGATAGTTGGGCTTTTTATTTGTGGCATGTAAGTGGAAGTGGAAGTGGAGTCGGCATTCCTTCCACGGTATTCTGTGGGACAGAGGAGTTACAGAGCCCACCCAGATTCAAGGGGATGAAACAGAGATTCGACCTCTTGATGGGAGGTGTGTCAAAGAATTTGGCACCATCTTCATTCTACCTCAATCTATCCTTTCCCCTATTGTTAAGATACAGGAAGAGAAAGAAGGAAAATATCAGGTAAAGCAGTCCCAGACAGACTCTTTGCCTGGTCTGTCTCAGCCTGGAGGAAGAAGTGGAGGACCTAGGCCATGCATAAGCTCCAGCAGTATATTGAACTTGGGTGATAAAGCACCCAAGTACACCTCTGCTCCCTGTTGTATTGGCCTCTGCAATGCTAAAATGTTGTAAGCTGAGATTCCCAAGATAAGAAGGCTGTGATCCATATCTTTAACCTGAGCGGCCGTGTGGCCCCTTCGCGGCACCTGCAGTGAGCAGCTGGCGAGCAGGAACACAGCCACATGGCTTCAGGAAGAGCTTCCCGCTACAAAGTGGTGAACATCCTGCGCTTCATCATCCAGGGAGAAATTGTTCCAAAGTAGGAGGAGGGAGAGAGGTTCAGTAACGAGGATAAAAAACACCACTTGCCTTCGCTTAACAGAGAAATTGGGGATGAATTGGAATTTGGGGATGAATTCTACTATTTTGCTTGAAGATCAGTTTGCATCAAAAGAGCAGAAAATATGAATTTAGCCAAAGATGTCATCTCAGCATGATTGGTGCAAAAATGTCACTTTCCAGCTTTCTGATATGTAATGCATTACGGCATTAGGGACTAGAATGTAGGGTGTTGGGGATCAGAATGCCTGGAATTGAATTCTAACTTCAAAAGTTGCAGCAGTGTGATTTCTTAGTTCCTTCATCTGTAGAATGGGAGTAATAATAATAATAAATAATGATAATGGTAATCATAAATACTCTTTACATAGGATTGATGTAAGTATTAAATGAGATGGCACGTAGAAAATTCTTAGCACTGGGCTTGACGCTTTTTAAGGGGCCAACACGCTGAAAAGTTTCCATAAATGTCAGCTTTTATCGCTGTTATTATAGCAATAACCCCCATCCTGATGGTGGAACATAAGAGCACTAGAGGCCTGGAGAAAGGGAGGGAGGGGTTGAAATTCAACTAAGACTTCTCATTCCTCTCTCTCTGGTTATATGCACTGGGGTATAATGTGATCTATAAACTCTTCTGTCTGTTGACATGCCAGCAAATGATATGTCTCTCTGATCTACTTAGGTTTTCAAGCTTAATGTAAGGGCCCAGGTTCTGGGGGCTTAGGGCTGTTCTGGCCTTTACAAACCTGCTACATACTCTAATAAATAAAACATTCACTCAGAGAGTCTGAGAGCTGGGGAGCCACATTGCGTGCGAATCCAGATCGGTGGCTGAGCTTCTTCCAGGTTGAAGTTAATCATAACTGACATGTTAGAGTAAAACTACTTTATAAAATCAATATTAAATTTACAACCTTTGACATCCTGGGACATCAAAGATAAAGGGGAAATAAGCCATGGAATAAACAGTCCTCCAGCTATACCAGCTGCTAGAGGGGATGGGGAGATGTGGGAAACCAGGAGACCAAATCGTACACTGTTAGTATTGTTTTTGTACCAACGTCTCAACATCAATAAAAACATTAAAAAAAATCACACAGACATTTACACACAGAGAAGAAAGGGAAGCAGAAAGGAGAGCTCCAGCAAACCAAAAGACCTCCAGAATCACTCCGGAGGGGAGCAGCTAGATCCTTCTCTGACAGCAAGGCTTGATTTCCCTGGACAGTGGAATGCTGCAATCACAGAGTGAACATCAGTTTATGAGGCTGGCAGAACCCCCGCTGAGACCCTAACCTATCTGACCAGGATCCCTGCTCTAATAAAAGTCTGCTCCTCTCCAGTAGGTCCTCCTTTTAGTCACAGGGACCCAAATATAGCAGAAGGAGACAACTGGAAGCAGAGTCAAACTACAAAGATCACAAGGTGAGAATGTGTTCTGCTGAGCACTCCTCAGTGGTTACTGACCCCCAGCTGTTCATGTCTGGGTAGGATTCTTAACTCTGGAAAGGGGACTTTAATGGTGACTACAGAAGCAGAACTACCTGAGTCCTACCGGGAGGAATTGGTCTGGGGTGGAAGACCCTGCAGAACCCAGCGCTGGCAGGATAATGAAGGACTTTCTAAGTCCCTTGCATCCGGAAGCATTTTGTCCCAAGGACTAGTCAGAGAACTGTTTCTCTTCTGTGATGGGTCTGAGTTCGTTGGATAAATTAGGAAGCGTTCTAGGAAAGGTGGAGCAGGAGAAGGCAAAGGCAGGATGCTTGGCTGTTTAAATAAACTCTTGCCTAGCAAGTTCTACAGTTCTTTTGGAAAAACAGCTTGAGTTTATGCCCTGGCTCACCTGCACTCAAGGTTGTAAGTTTGAACTTACCAAAATAGATGTTTGATTCAGTGTTTCCAACTATGAAACCTTTAAGGCGAATGGCAGCAATTTCATTTTTACTCCACCCCCATCCTCACTTCCGGGCTTCCCTGGCTCCTGTCTAACCCTTTAAAGAGAGTGATTTGAACTTCTGTGCTTTGTGGCCATTAGAGGTCATAGGGGTATTTTTGTCTTGACCTTTGGAATTTTTGTGGTTGTGTGGGCAGAGATAGGCACACGAAGACCAAATCTATCAGTAGCATTTAGCTTTCATCTGCTCCCTGAATGCAAAGCAAAACATAACTAAGTCTCTCCATTTAAAATGCCACAGAAACCAACTCACCCAAAGCAAGCAGGTCAAAGATTAGGAAATGAGCAGCTGTCGGTAGGTCTTGTTGACATGTGTGAGTGTGAGTGTGTGGGAGCCTGTGGTGTGATAGATGAGAAAAACAAACGCCTCCTTGAGCCTGATCTGTATAGAGTGTGAACAATTACCTCAAGTATGTAAAGTGATTTTGCTTCTTTGATTAAGAGGTAAACTCCGTGAGTTTCTAGAATTGCGTTCAGTGCCTAGAATATGCTATTATTAGTAGTAGTAGTAGTATTAAGCTTTTGGTGAGTAAATGAATTGGAGTTTCCTAGATAAGTTATGGGAGGAAACTAAGACTTATTCAGGGCTTAATCTGTATCAGGCACTATAGTAGGCCCTGTAATTATGCTTTCTTACAATACTCCTGTATTGGTTTTTTATTGCATCTCTAACAAGTTACCACAAATGTAGTAGCTTAAAACAATGCTTGGTCATGGGAGCATTCCAGGTGTCAAGTTGGTTACTGCTCATTCTGACTACTTGAGAATAATATGTGGGGAATAGAAAAATGAAAACAAGATTGGTGTAAAATTTAAAAGAAAAAAATTAGTACTGAGTAATTGCTTATAACATGAAACCACTAGGGAACATACTTGATTGCATTAAAAAAGGTGGTTTGGAGTTTCTGTGGGTTTGATGGAGGCCTCTGCCAGAGACTAGGTAGGAAGCTACCCTAATAGCTGATGCTCAATCCGCTCTCCATTTTTATAAGGATGCAAAATAAAAACCAACCTTCTTGAATTTCATTCTCTGGTGTTAATAGGATAGAACAGCAATGACATAGCAGAAAAAATGAGGATATGATTTACAAGTGAACCAGATGATTCCCATTTCATCTCACTGAATTGTTATCTTTTGAAGAGTTCCTTTTTGTGGATTACAAAGAGAATGTAATCACTTTAGAATTCCCCAGTGAGTTTCATAATGAACTCTACTTACATTGTGTTGACACTAATAGTAACTATAACCGTGATCTTCAAATCCCCATGTAGGAGGCAGGTTTATTGAAATTATAGCATGGACCACAAATTCATTTAAAAACATACTTTTAAAAATCAGTTTTATGCTGACCAAAAGCCATTTAAACCAGTTTCATTTACAAATATGAATGTTATATTATAATGAAATCAGTGTAGTGTAACTCAGGAAAAATTACATTTTGCTGACAAGTTTTGCTTCGTTTAGTTTCAAATCAAATTAAGAAACTAAGTAAACCAAACATTTATATGACTGACTCATACTGTGAAAAAAATGTGATCACAGCTTCACATCACAAAACTATTAAATTCTGTTCAAGTAATTTCCTCTCAGCATTTCCTTTCCTCATTTAAGGTTTCCTTCTTAACCAAAAAGTATCAAATTAGGAAGCTTAAATGACTGAAGTATTAACACTCTCAGGAAAAGAATGATTACCATTCGGAATGGGGGCTAAACCTCACCAACCTACCCTACCAAGGTAAATTGTTATAAAGGAACAGGAACACAGGGGTTTTGGGGGGTTGTTGTTATATTCTTTTCTAATAGTTTGATTTTTGATTTGAAGTTTCTTTAAAATTAATCCTTTAAAATCCTTTCCATCAATGCACAATTCAGCAACTTCAAAGAACAAAATGGCCAGACAATTTTATCTTTAAAGACTAGGTTTAGACTAGTGGGATTGTATTGAAGTAACTTTTGCTATTTCGAGTTTGATAAATTGTAACTCGCATATGGTTCAATTAGCATTCCTGTGAATAAATTTAACATTTCCTTCTATGCGATCTTTGCTTAATTTTGGTCTGTCTAGTTCATTTTCACTATATCCGTTTGCATAGGAATAAAATTTTGAAATTTTATCTATCTTAAATTTTATATTTATTAGTACATACACATGGAGATTTGTTAGGTAAGGCTGATGTATTATAAGGTGGCAAACGTATAATGACCCTCTCTCCCATGCCAGGCATAAAAAATCTTTTTCACTGAATTTGGACTCAGTTTCAATGTTCTTAATGCATTGCTCTAGGCAGTCCTTGACAATTAGTTAAGTAGGCATTTGTGTCAAAACCTTTGGCATCAGGGTATAGTTTACAAAATAGAACCTGCTTTAGATATTTTCTGCAGAAAGGAATGTAATACAGGATATTAAGCGCTTACAAAATTGCTAGAAGGGCTGGAAGGGCAGGCCTCAGGCCTGACCTTCAGGAATGGCTCCTGGAGGACTGCAGAACTGAGGCCCCAGGAAACTGCTGGATGCTGCAATTGGGAATAGAAGGAATCAGGAGGCTACAACAGAAAATTCTGAAGTTCCAGAATACATTGCTGTAGCTGCAAGCCAGGGATGAGAAAGCTGCGATCAGAAAGCTGGCATTACCATCCCTGACTCTCGGCACCCAGGAAGCTGTTCACTGGACAGTGGGATACAGAATACAGCTGCTGCTCTCACAGATGCCATTGCCTCTTACTTTCTTTTCTTTTCTTTTTTTTATTATTATACTTTAAGTTCTAGGGTACATGTGCACAATGTGCAGGTTTGTTACATATGTATACCTGTGCCATGTTGGTGTGCTGCACCCATTAACTCGTCATTTACATTAGGTATATCTCCTAATGCTATCCCTCCCCCTCCCCCTACCCCACGACCGGCCATTTGACCCAGCCATCCCATTACTGGGTATATACCCAAAGGATTATAAATCATGCTGCTATAAGGACACATGCACACTTACGTTTATTGTGGCACTATTCACAATAGCAAAGACTTGGAACCAACACAAATGTCCATCAGTGATAGACTGGATTAAGAAAATGTGGCACTTTCTTTTCTTTTTAGGATTATATCATTCAATTTACTTAATGAGTATTTTCAGTACGTTTCAGCATCATGCTAGGTGTTAAAGATAGGTGAAAAGAGGCCAGGCGCCGCGGCTCACGCCTGTAATCTCAGCACTTTGGGAGGCCGAGGCAGGTGAATCACCTGAGGTCAGGAGTTTAAAACAGCCTGGGCAGCATGGTGAAACCCCGTTTCTACTAAAAATAACAAAAATTAGCTGGGTGTGGTGTCACATGCCTGGAATCCCAGCTACTTGGGAGGCTGAGGCACAAGAATCGCTCGAACCCCAGAGACGGAGGTTGCAGTGAGCTGAGATTGCACCACTGTACTCCAGCCTAGGTGTAGAGTGGGGCTTTGTCTCAAAAAAAAAAAGAAAGAAAGAGTGGAAAGATAACAAATGATATCTTTAAGTTTTTTTAATGGGCAAATAATGGTTGTATATATTCATGGGGTACATAGTGATGCTTTGATACATATAATGTATCGTGTTCAGATCAGGGTAATTAGCATATCCATCATCTAAAACATTTATCGTTTCCCTGTGCGACTACCTCTTGACACCTAGAAAACTAGACACTGGACACTGAACACTGAACACCAAACCAAGAAAACCTCATGCTATGATGCTTTTGCTGACATTTGATTGGGGAAACCTCATTTGTTCCTGAATTCTGGTTTCAGGGAAGCCTGAGGGATGTAGTCAGCAGCCCAGGAAGGCACAATGAAGTCAGAATGGATCCTGAAGGTATCTCTATGGCTCTCTCTAACTTTGCTCTCTCTAACTCCATTGAAGCTTCACTGTAGAGAGATGCAGAACTTGTTTGCAGAATAAGAGGAAGGTTGAAGAACTGGCTTTTCTTAGACGGTATCTCAAGACTTAAGGAGATTTGATCCCTATCTTCTACTTAGAGGCCGCAGGGAATGATAATCCTTGCTTCTTATTGTTAATTTCTTCTTTCTCCTCAGCAATTCGTTTTTCCCAGGAACCTAATTTTAGTTCTTGAGCAGCTGGATGCTGCTGTATTACTTAGATCTTTGCATCTGCTGACCCTGCCTTTCCCTCTCACAAGAAAGGAGGGCACTTTCTATCTTTAATCAGTTTCTTACCTGAATTAATAGAGACTAGCCCCATATGTTTCAGATGGTAGCATACTATGCTAGCATTCAACTAATGCCACTTTATACAGGGTTAAAATAAAATGCAAAACAGGGAAATATATGTGAATATATTATCTAAATATTATAGATCTCGGCATAAAATGTGCTCCTAATCTGAAGTTGGCAGCCATATCCATATCCTCCTGTGAAAGAAATTGATTCAGTGGTAAGCAAAAGTGTACAAGAACAGCATTGAAAGTATTTTGACTCTATAATCAATCCATTATAGCTGTGTGTGTAAGATACTTAACTTTTCTTAAGTACCCAAACCTTTATGTACTGATATCTTTCATTTATATGGTACCTCACAGTGTACCTGATTCTGAAGGCATCCCTGTAAGCACATGTGACAGGGTCAGAGCAACAAAATGACATGCTTCAGTCATGGAGCAGAATGGAACATGAACCCAGGTCTTTGAATTCTCAATAAAATTGTTTTCTTCTACACTAAAGAAGATCAATATTCTTCTTCTTAGAGGGCTATTAGTATTAATAATTTGTAACCATGCCTTTAATGCACCTAGACAATATAAAATGCCTGCAAACAAATATTCATAACAATACAATTTGATATACTAATATTATGAATTTAATTTTTCATTATTATGATTTTATATAACTGGCAGAGGGACAGTTGAATGACTTTTGCAACTTTGATGTGTGAGTTTTAATCTATTTTACATTGCAGTGTCTATTTTAGATACTACAGTTTAAGAATCATTTTAGATTAACTATACATCTCTATTGATATATATATTTTTTAGGAAAAATGTGTATGTATAAGAGCATGGCCATGAAGTTGTAATATTCCACAGTCTCTCTCTTTGAAGTAAGCCCATCCCCATATTTGTGTCCACATGCAACCATTCCTCCCAATGCTGCTTCAAGTGATCATCTCCTATCCTGCCTTCTCCCTTTGGTGTCATCATGTAAAACTTCTTATATTCCTCTCACCTGCCACATCTCACAAGACTCAACTGCATTTACGTAGGTTATACCATGTAAGGTCACTTTATCACATACTTTGCCTTGTAGGGTAATGTCATTAAGAATAGATTGTCATTCCTGTATTCTTTCAAAGTGTCTTTCTTCTGGAGGAACGTAAGGCTGGAGGGAGGCTACCTAGTTTTTCTGACCCCAAATCATTTGATGTGGTAATGAAACACAGCCTTCTTTAGGCTGCTGTCAGGCCTCCATGAAAAAGATACAGTTTTTAACTCTGGGGAAGTTAAATAGCGCAATGGAGGCGAGGCAATCTGAAAAATTTTCACAAGGCAGGACTTGGCCTTGAATAGAAAATGCAAATCAGAAAACTAAATAAAGCTATCAGAAGCATTTATGTATTAAAAAAGAAAAAACTACATGCTATTTGCCTGTGTTCTTAAACAAATTATCTCGACCCTGTCATTCTCCTTCTTTTATTATGGGAAACTCCACAAAGAAAGACGCTCAAGTCAGTTACTTAGAAAAATTTCTTTGTTTTTATTGCTTTTCTTCATTCTGGAGAAGGCAGCTTGCTAAGGAGTACTCTTTTTTTAAAAATATATGTGATGCCTATAAAGAAAGGAGCAGGATGGCTAAGCTTTAGGTCAGAAGTCATTTGCATCCAAGTTGCCTGTAAGTGTCTGACTAATTTAGTTGGTAGAAATGAGATTCTGGGAAATACAATAAATGGACCAAGAAGTGCTCTCAGGTGGTAGTTTCAGATGGGTTATAAGATCACACAGTGTCCTAGTTTTTGGTCTCTGTTAATAATCTGTTGTGATGTACAGCAGGTTCTGGTATACAGAGTAATTCAAGTGCTCTTCTGTTGGGCATATGGTGCTTTTAAGAACACTCTAAGGGTTGATTTGACTGCTCTGGTTGATAGAAGACAGCACAGTGGGAAGGAAGAGAACAAGCTATGGATGGTGCGTGGGACTGAGGAGAGCAAGGGATTCAGATGAGAGCAGAGCTGCTGAGAAAACAACATGCAGTGATTTAATTAGAAAATCAATTTTGCCATCGTTTAAGTTGAATGATACTGTTTCTTAAGGTAAGATTAGCGCACATGTACCTCACAAATAATAAATATATATATACATTTAAAATATGTATTTTATTGTATGTGCATGTATGCACATATACATATACGTATATTAAATAACAAACTCACATGAGGCACAAACTCACACAAAGAACAAGCTTTAACCTTAACTGCTGCAACTGAGAGTTGGGGGAGATATTTGACAGAAACGGAAAGAAATAATTCTAGAGGAAAGTTGAGTAACAGAGAAGAATCTTCCAGGAAACAGCTTAGACTCATTTTGTCCCCATTTAAAGCAGGGAAAAATAATATAATCTTTTCACAGTGGCACCTACATTCACTGGCAAAAGGAGATATTTTATATATAAAATCAAGATGTAAGTTTATACTCAAAGAGTGTCATGCCTCTAGAATTTCCCATGTTACAAGAATTTGTGTAATAGTAAATAGGATCAGAAATTGTCAGAATAATAGGAATATGGCTGACCAAATCTGTGTAGTTGTGGAAAACCCTTATAATTCCAAATTTGAGTAATTTCAGGCAGAGTGCTTGAGAACTCTGCAATCAGGGAGGCAATTCTGACACAAAAACTGCCAGATACCAACCAGTATGAAACAGAGAGGGAAATCTTGGATCCTAACAGATCTAAGAGGTCAAAGAAGAATATGTTTAATGCAGAGTCATGATAGATACTAACTAGTCATTCCAGGCAAATAATTTTTTTAAACCGTGGCTGTCCAACATATGATCTGTGACCAAATTAATCCCATCTTAAATTGGGTTGCAGCCCACCTGAGATTTTGAAGAAAAAAATTGTTTTCCCTAATTTCCTAATTTCTTCATCCTAACCAGCTGACATGTTCAGCAAAGAGCTGACTGTTGCTGGGCTTGACACAGAAGGTTTAGATCAATAATTCTAATTAAAGTCAAAGTCATCAGTTATATACTTGAGAGTTGTTCAAGTTTAAATGCATACTGTCATATTATGACATGTTACGAATGATTGTGAAACTAAGCAAAATCAGCGTAAATAAATCTTTGGTAAAGACCACCCATGCTTGAGTTGAGTTCAATATTCACTGAACCCACTATTACTAGCTAGATAAATAAATAAGTAAACAAATGTCATTTACTGTTGAAGAGATAAATGTGCTCCTAACCCAAAAGCATAGAGAGGAAGAAAAGGGGAGAATTAAATGTATTAAGTGCCCTGATGTGCCAGGAATGGCTTTAAGAGTTTTCTATATATCTTTTCTTCTAATGTCTCCCAAAAGGCCCACAACATACAGTTGATTATTTCTACTTTATAGACAAGGAAACTGAGGCATAGACAACTTACTTATTTTGACCAAAGTTATATACTTTGGCAAGGATATAGCCAGCGGTTTGAATGCATGATTCTAAAGCCCATATTCCTAGTTATGCCTATGTATTATTTATACTTTGTTGCATATGTATATTTATGAATACATTAATTATTTCTTAGACCTAAGTGTTAATTCATTAAGGATAATGGCCTCCAGCTGCATCCATGTTGGTGCAAAGAACATGATTTCATTCTTTTTATGGATAACATTTTATGTTGATAGAACAATTTGTTTTCTTTTGGACATATACCAAGTAATGGAATTGTTGGGTCAAATGGTAGCTCTGTTTTAAGTTCTTTCAGAAATCTCCAAACTGCTTTCCATGGTTACTGTGGATTCAAGTCTCCTCAATTATCAATAATTGAAAATGCTGTCATTATATAATTATTAATAAGATTCTTAATGAAGTAATATTTTTGTTCCCTAGAAAACTGTAAGTTAACAGAACTCAATTATTAAGAATGACTATTTTGGGGAGGTAGGATAATGGCGGATTTTTAGTTTCTCCTTTGTGCTTTTTCATGTTTCCTATATGTCCATGAATATCATAGATTATTTTTCTAACCTAAACCAATATTATTTAAAAAATAAAACTGAGAGTTATTGGTATAGGGATCTATCTGAAACAGGTGGATCCAAATATCATTTGTAATGGTTTTTTGGACATCACTAGTAAACTAACAAAACATACCTTGCTTGATCAAGGTCCATTCCTTTTTGAGTGTATCCTTTCTTGAATTTACTTGGTCAACTCTTATTTCCAAAATTTATTTCAAAGACTTTTATATTCAATTTAATTCAAAACACTTTTGGAATGACCTATGCAGGAAGTGGCAAATGGTAGGTGTGGATTTGGGTCCAATTGTTAATTCAATTGTTATTTAACATCCGAAATAATCACATCTATAAAAGAGAGTAGGAAATTTTACATATGTTGCATCCAGAAAAGAAGCTGTATAGTAGAATGGCTGATAGCCAGAGCTCTACAGCCAGATGTTAGGTCAAATCTCAGGTTCATCATTGTTAGGTGTATAATCTATATAAATTTAAAGACATTTCTATGGATTAGCTTAGTCTTCTGGAAGATGGAAATAATAATAGTACTTATACCACATAGGTTTGTTGGGAGCATTAAGATAGTTAATATGCACAAAGCACCTAGAATAGTGCCTGATACTTCATAAACATTCAATAAATGCTAATTATTATTTAACCCAGATGAAATATATTACAGAAAGGAAGAAACTAGCTTACAAATTTCTTAAGGAATTGTGTTATATAAACATTAAATAAATACAAGATTAAAGGATATTCTCACAAAATACAAATCAATCCACATGGCATGAAATATTTGAAAGTATATTATATACTGTGTTTGAACTCACTTGATATTTGTAACTTCTTTCTAGGCAGGTGATGTCTGTTTAGGAAGTCTGTCTTGAGCTCGAAGAGGTTGTCTTAAAATTATATTTTTCTGTCTCCTTTTTCTGTCCTTTTTTGTGTCAGATAATCTACAATGCTTATGAATTAATCTTAATCCCTCCCTTCCTTTATTTTTTCAGGAGAAGAATGTTGAAAGTATGTGAGAAGAGTGCAGTTAGAGGTTAGGCCTTTAAATGCCTAATAATAGCTACCAATAATGCAACATTTTACTGTGAATCAGTACTGATCAAAGCACTCTTCATGAATTAAATTTATCTTCTCAATAAACCCATTATATATATATATATAATGACATATGTTATTATCTTTATTTTACAGATGAGAAAATTAATCTCCAGAAATTAGTCACAAAACTAGTTAAACTGTGGAACTTGGATTAAAATCTAAGTAGTTAAAAGTAAATTCAGGCTTTCCTATCAGATCCATCTGGCCCAACAATGAATAGAAACAACAAAAAGTAAGCATACATACTAACTTTGGGTAGGGAGGGATGATATTCAAAATATTCACCAACCGATCAACACAGGCACTAATTCTGACTAATCAGAATGGTTGTCAGTTGTGTATAACTGGCATGACTATACTGGTGTGAACTGTATGAACACCAGCTTTGACTTTTTAGGGAAAAGGATTAATTTGAAAAGTATATTACTTAATGTCTTCAAAAAGAAAATTGACTCAGCAGAAATCTTACAAGCCAGGAGATACTGGGGGCCTATCTTAAGCATTCTTAAATAAAAGAAATTCCAACCAGGAATTTCTTACCCCCCCAAACTAAGCTTCATAAGCAAAAGAGAAATAAAAATTCTTCTAAGCCAGCAAGTGCTAAGGGAATTTATTACCACTAGACCAGGCCTATAAGAGATCCTTAAGGGTGTTCTAAACATGGAAACAAGAATGATATCTGCTACCACAAAAATATACTTAAGTACATAGCCCACCAACTCTTTAAGCAACCACATAATAGAAACTATAAAGCAACCAGCTAACAAGTTCATGATACGATCAAAGCCTCATGTGTCAATATTTACTTTGAATGTAAATGGTCTAACCATCCCACTTAAAAGGCACAGAGTGTCAGTTGGATAGAAAAAAAGACCCATGTGTCTGCTATTTGCAAGAGACCCATCTCACATGTAACAATCCATAGGCTCAAAGTAAAGTGTTGGAGAAAGATCTATCATGCAAATGGAAAACAAAAAAGGGCAAGGGCTGGTCTTCTTATATCAGATGAAACTGACTTTAAACCAACAACAAAAAGTAAAAAAGGACAGATAAGGGCATTACTCTCAAAACCACACAGTTGCATGGAAATTAAACAACTTGATCCTAAATGACTTTTGGGTAAACAACAAAATTAAGGCAGAAGTAAATGAAAACAGAGACACAACATACTAAAATCTCTGGGATGGAGCAAAAGCAGTGTTAGGAGAAAAGCTTATAGCATTAAATGTCTACCTTAAAAAGTTAGAAAGATCTCAAATTCACAATCTAACATTGCACCGGAAGGAATTAGAAAAACCAGAACAAACTAACCCCAAAGCTAGCAGAAGAAATGAAATAATTAAAATTGGAGAAGAACTGAATGAAATTGAGATGCAAAGATTTATAAAAAGAATCAATGAAATCAAAAGTTGGTTCTTTGAAAGGATAAACAAGATTGATAGATCACTAACTAGATTAACAAAGAAAAAAGGGAAGACTCAAATAAGCACGATCAGAAATGACAAAGGTGACATTACAACTGATCCCACAGTAATACAAAACATCCTCAGAGAGTTTATGAACACCTCTATGCACACAAATTAGAAAACCTAAAGGAAATGGATACGTTTATGGAAACACACAATCTCCCAAGATTGAATCAGGAAGAAATTGAAACCATGAACAGACCAATATCAAATTCCAAACTTGAATCAGCAGTAAAAAGCCTACTAACCAAAAAAAAAAAAGCTCTGGATCAGATGGATTCACAGCCAAATTGTACCAGACATACAAAGAAGAGCTGGTAGCAATTCTACTGAAACGATTGCAAAAAATTGAGGAGGAGCGGCTGCTCTGTAACTCATTCTACAAAGCCAGGATCACCCTAATGCCAAAAGCCGGAAATGACACAGGGAAGAAAGAAAACTAGAGGCCACTATCTCTGATGAACATAGATGCAAAAATCATCAACAAAATACTAGCAAACTGAATCCAACAGCACATCAAAAAGTTAATTCACCATGACCCAGTAGGCTTAATTCCTTGAATGCAAGGTTATTTCAACATATGCAAATTGATAAATGTGATTCACCATATAAACAGAATTAAAAACAAAAACCATATGATCATCTCAATTGATGCAGAAAAAGCTTTTGACAAAATCCAGTATCCCTTCATGATAAAACCCTCAAGGAACTAGGCATTGAAGGAACCTACCTCAAAATAAGAGCTGTCTATGACAAACCTACAGCCAACATCATAATGAATTGGAAAAAGCTGGAAACATTTCCCCTGAGAACTAGAACAAGACAAGGCTGCCCATTCTCACCACTCCTGTTCAATATAGTACTGGAAGTCCTAGTCAGAGTAATCAGGCAAGAGAAGGAATTAAAAGGCATCCAGAGTCTGAGGCAGGTGGATTGCTTGAGCCCAGGAGTTTGAGACCAGCCTGGGCAACATGATGAAACCCCATCTCTATGAAAAAAAAAAATTAGTCATGGTGGCGCTCAGCTACTTATTGTAGTCCCAGCTACTTGGGAGGCTGAGAGGTGGGAGGATGGGAGGTCAAGACTACTGTGAGCCATGATCATGCCACTGCACTCCAGCCCGGGTGACAGAGCGAGACTCCGTCTCAAAAAAAAAAAAAAAAAAGAAAAGCATCCAAATAAGAAAAGAAGTCAAACTATCTCTCTTTGTGAATGATATGATTCTATACCTAGAAAACTTTAAAGAGTCTGCCAAAAGTCTCCCGGAACTGGTACGCGACTTTAGTAAAGTTTCAGGATACAAAACCAGTGTTCAAAAAATCAGTAGCATTTTTATATACTGATAATGTTCAAGCTGAATGCCAAAACAAGAACATAATCCCATTTACAGTAGACACACACACACACATACACACACACACACACACACACAACCTAGGAATACATCTAACCAAGGAGGTGAAAGATCTTTACAAGGAGAACTACAAAACACTGCTAAAAGAAATCATAGATGACACAAACAAATGCAAAAACATTCCATGCTCATGGACTGAAAGAATCAATATCATTAAAATGGCCATACTGCCCAAAGCAATCTACAGATTCAATGCTATTCTTATCAAACTACAAATGTCATTTTTCACAGCACTAGAAAAGCTATTCTAAAATTCACATGGAACAAAAAAAAAAAAAAAAAAAAAAAAAGAGCCCAAACAGCCAAAGGAATATTAGGCAAAAAGAACACAGCCAGAGGTATTACATTACCTGACTTCAAACTACTATAAGTCTACAGTAACCCAAACAGCTACAGGTACAGAAACAGATATGTAGACCAATGGAACAGAATAGGGAACCCAGAAATAAAACTGCACATCTATAGCCATCTGACCTTTGATAAAACTGACAAAAATAAGCATCAGGGAAAGGAAATCCTATTCAATAAATGGTGCTGGAATAGCTGGGAATAGCTGGCTAGTGATATGCAGAAGAATGAAGCTGGACCCTTACCTTTCACCATATATACAAATTAATCAAAATGGATTAAAGATTTAAATGTAAGACCTCAAACTATAAGAATTATAGGAAAAAACCTTGGAAACACCATTCTGACCTCAGCCATGGCAAAGAATTTAGGACTAAGTCCCCAAAAACAATTGCAATAAAAACAAAAATTGACAAGTAGAATCTAACTAAACTAAACAGCTTCTGCACAGCGAAAGAAACTATCAACAGAGTAAACAGACAACTTATAGAATGGGAGAAAATATTTGCAAATTATGCATCCAAGAATATATAAGGAACTTCAACAGTTGAACAAGCAAAAAACAGCCCTGTTAAAAAATGGACAAAATACATGAACAAACACATCTCCAAAAAGACATACAAGTGGCCAGTAAGCATATGAAAAAATGCTCAACATCACTAATCATCACAGAAATGCAAATCAAAACAACAACGAAATACCACCTCACACCAGTCACAATGGCTACTACCAAAAAGTCAAAAACCAACAGATACTGGTGAGGCTGTGGAGAAAAGGGAATGTGTATATGTGGTTGGTGGAAATGTAAATTGGTTCAGTCACTGTGGAAAGCAGTTTGGAGATTTCTGAAAAAACTTCAAACAGAACTATCATTCGACTCAGCAATCCCATTGCTGGGTATATGTCCAAAAGAAAACAAATTGTTTTACCAAAAAGATATGTGCGCTCTTATGTTCATTGCAGCACTAGTCACAATAGCAAAGATATGGAATCAACCTAAGTGTCCATCAATGGTGGATTGGATAAAGAAAATGTGATACATATACACCATGGACTATTATGCATCCATAAAAACGAATGAAATCATGTTCTTTGCAGCAACATGGATGTAGCTGGAGGCCATTATTCTAAGTGAGTTAACACAGGAACAGAAAACCAATACTGCATGTTCTCACTTGTAAGTTGATCTAAACACTGGGTACTCATGGACATAAAGAGGGCAACAGTAGAAACTGGGGACTACTAGAGAGGCGAAGGAAGGAGGGAGCAAGAGTTGAAAAACTATTGGCTACTATGCTCAATATATGGGTAATGGGGTCATTTGTATCCCAAACCTCAGCATCACACAGTAGACCCAGATAACAAACCCTCACATATATTCCCTAAACCTAAAATGAAAGTTGAATAAACATGAAAAAATAAAAAAGCTAATTGTAAGCACTGTGTGAAAAAAGAAAAAGAAAAAGAAAATTGATTAAATAACAGGAGCTCAGAAAAGACCAATGAAGTCCAAAATATAAGGCAGGTGAGTTCATTCTCTCAATACACACCTTGTTCATCTTTCAGATACCTATCAGCAAAATGGCATGTTTTAAAGATGGTAGAACTATTTGAATGTGTTCTTCCCCAAACAACGCTGTATTCCTTGCTGGTACCGTGAGCCAGTGGTAGTCACACTTGAGATGGTAAAAACTGTTGAAAAGTAGCCCTGCCCTTCTCTAAATCCATCACATTACTGTCCAGGGAGGATTAGAATAGATTCTTACTTGAATTCATTTCATTGATTTAGTGTCTGTTTGGTATTATGTAGGTAATAGGATGATGTGTCTGTATGGGAGATGCACCTGATAGCAGTAACTTAAGCATATCCTAGATGACCCTGTATGGCAGGCACACCTGAATGTGTGTTTGGAATTCTGAGCAGAGGAGTCCAGGATTAGCCAACCCAGAGATTCATTCCTTGTCTATGATAAACATCTGGACCCATGGTCTGTCCCGCAGAACGCAGGCCATGTGGGGAACTGGGGCCCTTTGTTTGGGGTTGGATGAAGGTTGCTGGCTGGAGGTTGTTAGGGAAAGGGTGCTAAGTGAAAATGCTGTATAAACTGCATGCTTTTAGCAAGCAGTTGCGGTTCTCTTGCCCAGCCTGCTGCCACTGGGCCATGAGGTTCTGCTATCCAGCTCGCTGCCACTGGACTGTTCCTGGAGGTAAGTTTCCTGCTAATAAAACCCTATGTCTCATTTTCTGGTTCCAGGTCTCCTCTTTGGCCTCTTGAACCTTGTGCCATTCCTGCTGAAGTTAATAGGGGTCCGGCATGACAGGGTTTAATGTTACAATAAGGCAGAATATACTGTCCACCCAGAATCAAATGACAAAAAATTAGTAGATTCCAGTTTGGTGTACTCTAATAAACACACTCACATTACTGTCACTTTTACTATTACAATAGCACATGCAAATATTCTCACTAGGGTTTTCTTCTGTTTCTCCTATAGTGGAGAAACCAATTGCTTTAGGCACTTATTGCCTGAAATGTAATATTAAATCATAGCAGGAAATACATCTGGATCCTGGTCCTGGACCTGCTTCTGACAAGCTTTGAGCAGAATAGCTACTGTATAAAACAGTCTCTACCCTGGGGAGCTGTGGGAGGAGATGACGATATCAAGTCCATTAAGACAGCACTTCCTTTCTGAAACAACAGAAATACTAAAATATTTAAAATTTTTATTTTCTTTTGACTCTGGGAAGTTTTTGAAAGTGCCAAAGTCCTTAAAGTTATACATATTTATTTGAGAAAAAAGTTTTAGTTCTCATTATTCTTAAAAGTCAGTTAACTGGGGCCAGGCACTATGGTTCATGCCTGTAATCCCAGCACTTTGGGAGGCTGAGGTGGGCAGATCAGTTGAGGCCAGGAGTTCAAGACCAGCCTGGCCAACATGGTGAAACCCTGTCTCTACTAAAAATACAAAAATTAGCTGGTTGTGGTGGTGTGCACCTGTAATCCCAGCTACTTGGGAGGCGGAGGCAGGAGAATCGCTTGAACCTGGGAGGCAGAGGTTGCAGTGAGCCAAGATCATACCACTGCACTCCAGCCTGGGTGACAGAGCAAAACCCTGTCTCAAAAAAAAGAAAAAAAAGTCAGTTAATTGAAGCAGAAAGTGTTTTTATTTCCTTGGGGGAGCTCAGTGTATTAAATATGTGACACAATATAGCTATCATGAAGACAGACATCATGATTCACTTTGCTGTGGTGTGTCTCCTCTGTTTCTTTGCCGAGATGGCATATGTGAGGCCCAGTTTGGTGTCTTCCCCAGACCCCTAATCCTGTCATCATAGGGAAATTATAGTTAAAACCTGAGAGACTTAATTTAGTTTTATAGCTAATAAAGTATATTTCTTTGTTCATTAAATATTTTCTCATTCAGATTTTAGATATCTTTGTTGTTTTCTTAATGAAACAATAGGCTCTTGCTTTTATACTTTTTTTTTAAACTCCTCTGGCTGGTTTTCTCCCAACTAGCTATTTTAAGTAGCTACTTCTTAGATGCTTAGATTTCTGACATTTTCATCTTCCAAATCAGAAAGCACCAACATACCACAACAATCAGTTTCACCAAGAATCCAGCAACGGAAGGAAATGAGATATTTCACTATTATTACTTTGTGACTTTTAAAGTCTTAATGTTCAACTTTCGAATGCTCTTTTTCTTTCAATTAAAATTGCTCTGGGTTTAGATGGACAATGATCTGGGCTAATCTATGGTGTAACATGTAATGAAAGCAGCAGACAACAAAGGAAGTCCGAGGGACTCGATTTAGGCCAGAACAGCTAGTGGAGGAGAAAACACAGAAAACAAGGTGCACTGGAAGCACCGTTTAGCTTCGTCAGGTTTGTGGCACCTGGGTTTTCAATTAATGCCATTTCTTGAGTTTAGAAATAAGTCACACACATTTTTGCTCTAGGAGCACTTAGAGAAAGAACAGCATCACCCATCTCTAAAAATATTTCCCAGTGGATAAACTGTTAAGGAAACATGTTTGTGTTCACACTTCGAATAGAAATATTTACTATTCAGACTCTGTACTTGAATTTCTTTTTTTAAATCAAGTAACTAAGTTGGCTTTTTGTGAAATGATGACCCAGATAAGGGCACTGGGTCACCACTTACATAGCCAAAGCAGATGAGTAAGAATTTCAGAGCATTGAGATAACCTCCACAGAACCAGCTTATGTTGCACTGAATTTGTCTGTTTTAACTTAAAAGCACAGTATTTCAGGAGAAGATCACGTTAGTAATTAGCTCCTGAAAACCTGGAAGATAATGAATATATTTGATGTATTGAAGCTTTAGTGAAAGACTTAACAGTCATTAAAATGAGCTCAGAAGATTCTAGCTCTGTGGGTGAGTGTCTGGGCTGATGGCATAGTTAATGTCACTATTGTTCTTCCTTAGTTTAACTTGTATTCGGTGTATATTTTATACAATTTTGGTTTTAAAAATGTTTATTTTTTTGAGGACAGACCACATATTTGGGGGTCTTTGAAATAAACTAACTTGATGGCCCAGCTCACATAATCTTTACCAGGTATCAACCAACCCCTTAACTTCGTGTGACTACCGTCAATCCTGCATTGAGACCTTGGCTTTTTTAGTAAGAGACCCGACTTTAAAACAGGACAATTTACCTATTCTGGACAGCATCAAGAATAAAGGAGAACATGGCACATAGTCTTATTTATTCTTTATTTGCAACTTTAGAGAGTAGGATTATTTAGAGTGGGGTCATTGAACAAACACACTTTTGTTTTGCAGTTACTCTTGTTATTGTACATATCACACTGATTTTTGCTGCTTAAGTGTCCAGTGTTTAGCTCTTTCAATGTGGCCTGATTATATATATATATATTTAAAAACCTTTATTCCTCTCTGCTTTGTATATATATTTAAAAACCTTTATTCCTCTCTGCTTTGCTGTTTGTGAGATGGCTTCCATGCATGATAAAACCAAGGGTGTTTGAGAGACAAATACAGGATTATAAGTTGGTCAGCTTTATGACACTTGACACCTTAAGATATGGTTTCTAGATAACAGGGCTTGCCTGCAGAGTCTTGACCCAAACACCAAAGGTGGGAGTGAGGCAGGGCTCCTACACAGCACAGGCTGGTCAGAAAATTGGGAGCAAATGACTCTAGTTAGTCATCATTCACTTTTTCTGCTGTTTTGGGGAAGAATTTTGTCTCAGCTCCACAGAGCTTTAGAAAAAGAATGATGCATTTCTGAAGCACTTAGCATGGAGAACCTGTTGATATCATTTGTATTATTACAATTTCATATTATATTTGAGCTCTTGTATACTTCTTTATATTATTTTTTCTAAGACTGGATTATGCCAGAATTTGTGCTAAGTTCTGGGAATCAGGTGGAATGCTTTTCTATGGGCTTACATCTTTCTTTGAAAGTAAATTTTTGAAGGACTGAATAGGATTGCAAAGTATGATAACCAAAACTCTTTATGGGATATTTAAAGGGCAAAGATCCATTCCATGGGGCGGGGATCTCCCCGCCCCCCATTTTGTACTTCTTAATTCCTCTTTTCCCTCACTTTTTCTGAGGCCAAATTGAGGCAGTAGAACAAGAAGAACAGGAAAGAGGTTGTGACCAAGTATTCAGCGATGTTGCTTTAGCACTCTCTGGGTAAATACAGTAACAGATGAGCAGAGAGCCAGAGGTCCAACGACTGCTTCCTGGGCCCCCACCCATTCTTGTCAAGCAACGCCAGCAAATTCAAAAGCACAAAGTTGGTTATTTTTAACTGCTCATCAAAGCCACTAGAAACAAACTTTCAAAACTTTTCTTCTATTTTTGCTTCTTTTCCTCTTTCTCCTTATTCCTCATTTTTGGGAGGTACTGTTGATTGGAAAAGGTTAAAAAGAAAACTCAGACAGCTGAATTTTTAAGACAGAGATGATGATAAAAATAAATGGCCAGATATTAAGAAAGAGATAATGGGGAGTAACAATTTGTGCAACCCTTTAGGGCTTTGAGAGCGTGATTATCAGCGAGAAAATAGTGGCTTCAATGTAGGGAACAATCTTAGTTAAGACTTTGCGAGTAGTGATATATCTTTTATTTATTATTATTATTATTTTTTTTTTTTTTTGAGATGGAGTCTCACTGTTGTTGTCCCGGGTCGGAGTGTAATGGTGCGATCTTGGTTCACTGCAACCTCCGTCTCCCGGGTTCCAGCAATTCTCCCACCTCAGCCTCCCGAGTAGCTGAGATTACAGGCGCCCGCCACCACGCCTGGCTAATTTTTGTGTTTTCAGTAGAGACAGGGTTTCACCATGTTGGCCAGGTTGGGCTCGACCTCCTAACCTCAGGTGACCCACCCCCCCCCTCCCTCGGCCTCCCAAAGTGCTGGGATTACAGGCGTGAGCCACCAAGCCAGGCCGATATATCTTAATGTTTGGAAAACATTGGAAGCATTTTTCATAAAAGTTAAAATACTGGCCGAGCGCAATGGCTCACGCCCGTATTCCCAGCACTCTGGGAGGCTGAGGTAGGTGGGTCACGAGGTCAAGAGTTCCAGACCAGCCTGACCAACATAGTAAAACCCCGTCTCTACTAAAAATACAAAAGTTAGCGGATGTGGTGGCGGCGCCTGTAATCCCAGCTACCTAGGAGGCTGAGGCAGGAGAATCGCTTGAACCCGGGAGGTGGAGGTTGCAGTGAGCCGAGATCGTGCCACTGCCCTCCAGCCTGGGCGATGGAACAAGACTCTGTCACACACACACACACACAAAATTAAAATACTATCATTTATATGTTAATATTATATAATCAACTAATTTGTGATGTATAGGAATAAATGGCATGAATTCCGTCAGTACCAGAGATTTATTGAGTAATCAGAAAAAAATTAAAGAGTCTTAATATGACAACATAGGTCTTACAAAAATAAATAGCTTAGCAGGAAGCAGGAATCCAGGCTATTGTTTATGCTGTCAATTCAAATTAAAAACGAAAATGAAACAAAGGATTTCTGCTAAAATATATTATCACATATGGAAAATGAATTCACCTCCTCCTCCCTGGCCCACCAGCAACATGGAAAGTATTAACTTAGAACTTATTTCCCTTTTCCTCCATCTCTTTGAGATGATAACTGAAACTCAATAGCGCTTTATAATTAAAGAATAAGGTACTGATAGTGAAACGCTTTTCACTTCACTCAATAGATTTAAAAATAGAAATTTACTAGAGGTGATCATTTCACAGATTTTGATGCCAAGAATGGGTAACATTAGCCAGGTCTTTAGGTGAATATCTTGAATGATTGTTCAAGCTTTGTGGGCTTAACCAAATTCAGACATGTTGTCCATGTTGTTGCATGCTACACTCTGGTGCTTCAGTTAGCATGACTACATGCTCTATAAAAGAAGTGTAGAAGGCAAGAAAAATGCAAATATATAAAATAAGGGGTTTTCCCACTGTTCTTTGTATGGTAACAATCTTCAGATGATATCTTAATGATATCTTAAAATCCCCTTCCAAACCTAAAATTGAGAGTTCAATTTCATACCTAGATAATTTGTAGATTCAGACTAATGTGTGCCTGCTATTTCAAAGCTGGTATGTTGTGAAGTCTTCCTTAATATCTAGCACATTTATGATGGTTTTGGAGAAATTATCATCTAGCACTAGCATTGCCACCACTAGCATAAATCAAGTAGTTTGGGGTTGTGCAAAGTGGGGATAAAATTGTCCCCTGCTGCTGTCATCTTTATGATATCTTAAAATCATACAATGTCAAAAGAAAATTAGGATGAGGAAACCTAGACAAGGTGGAGCCCTGAGAGGAGACATTTATTAAGTTCTGACACTTGTTTTCACTTTTATACTCATATGTATCGTGAGTAATGCCATACAGTGGCAGTAAACAATCTTTGTTGACTGAATAAATGCATAGCCAAACCAGAACGCAGCACAGGCTTGTCTAACTCAGTGAAACAGCTGATGGTTGAACCAAATGCCTGGAACTAAAAAGCTGTGAAAGATTTAAGTGAAGACATGATATCTCCCCTCAAGTTATTATTCACCTCTGAGATGTTCACCTTCTTTTGGCATCTGTTGTTTGGCTTGATATGATTTTACCCCCACTTTGCACAACCCCAAACTACTTGATTTATGCTAGCAGTGGCAATGCCAGTGCTGGATGATAATTTCTCCAAAACCATCATAAATGTACTAGATATTAAGGAAGACTTCACAACATACCAGCTTTGAAATAGCAGGCACACATTAGTCTGAATCTGCAAATTATCTGGGTATGAAACAACTCTCAATTTTAAGTTTGGAATGGGATTTGAGACCTGTGGAATGTAACTTTTCCCACTGAGATGTTATTACTTTATCTGCTCTTGCTCTGTATGATTTTTCTGATTTAAAAGGGCAGCCTTACGATTGTTCCCCCACATTTTGTTTTACAGGGTGGCAACGAGGGCAGCAAAAAATGCTCTTGGTGAAGAGAGAGTTTGTGCCATTAAGTGGTTTATCATCAGCAATTTTAGGATCTTTGAAAATGTAATACATGTTTTGAAATGAGTGCCCTGTCCAGATAACCACTTCTTCCTCTTGGTTCTTTTAACTGCTGCTAGAATCTGAAAGGTAAATGGAATCTGTCACTATTTATGTGATTTCAAACTGTAAGTTGAAATGAGATACCACCTACCTTAAATGAGATACCACTTACCTTAGAGCTCTGAGGAGGCATTTTGGAACTTATCTGGGGGTGATGCAGGAGAGTGTTATGTTAGTTTTAGCTAGAGTATAAAATTCTGTGTAGTTAGGATGATAAGGTGGCAATGCACATTGCACTTAAATTAAGAATTCACATTTATACAGAGCCAAACGCGCGCGCGCGCGCGCGCGCACACACACACACACACACACACACACACAGATGTCCCTGTAGTTGAGGGTGTCTTGCTAGAAAGTTGTATATAAGTTAAACTATGCCATGGGAGTGAATAACCAACCCTTTAAGACATACTTTATTTCCTTTTTTGGCCAATGTTCAGAAGAATCAATTTTGAATTGACTCCTCATATTGACTCATTTGGCAATGTAAAACCTTTCCTTTTCTCGAGATGACATTGAAACCTTATTCTTTTCTTTAGGTTGTGTAGTTTCCACAGGAAAAGATAAATAATGCACTTTGTGTGAATCATAAACCACCTCACAGTCATGTGAGTTTCAAGTCAAATCCAGTTACTATTTTAAACAGATAAGGAGATAGAGTGGGCAGATGGTAGGTCCAACGACTCCTCTAATAAGAGGAGCCCAGAGGGCTTATAAGTAACTGAAAGTAAGCATTTTATTCCTCTAACAAAAAGAAAGAAGTAAAGAGAGAGAAAGAGAAGGGGGAGCAGCATACAAAATGGCTCATCAGCGTAACTCGGGCTACGGTATTGTGTATGCTGGTTGCCATTTAAGTTTTGATCACATGAACACTGCCAGACGTGCATATGAGCTTTTTTGACCCATACAGGCATTTTGATAAATTACCTTCCAAGCAGCTGATAAGAAAACTTTGTCATTCATTGTAGCCTCAGAGGTAAAAGCCAGACCAGGGATTAAAAAGACGGGGAAGGAGCCCTGAGAGAATGGCGGTGGGTCCAGTTGTGGATGCAGAATGAGGTTAATAGCTGAATGCCCTGGAGATCTGTGCCAGAAAAGATCTTTGTTGTTGAATATATTTATTAACCATTTATAAGATGAGGTGAATAAAGGAGTGATATTATTCAATGACCCTAAATTTTCAGTCCAATAAGGACCACAAGAGATTCCAGCAAGACTTAACAAAACCAGGTAATTGGACAATATGATGAAGATGAAATCTGAAACAGGCAAGTGTGAGGTGATGCACATCTGAAAGAACAATTTAAGCTAATCATACACAGTGATGGGTATTGAATTAGCCATAACCTTCCAAGAGAAAGATCATAAGCCTTGCTCAATGGGCAACAGTGCTAAAAATAAGCCACTGGAAGAGGAGTGAGAATAATGTGGACAATATTAAGGTGCCATTATATAAATTGACAGCATATCCTTGTCTAGAATATTATGTTGAGTTTTAGCCACCTCGTCATAAAAATGGAATGGAAGAAACAGAAAAATTCCCTGAAGGTCTGCTAAACTGATTGGAAATATAAGATAAGCTTCATTATGAAGGGAATATTTTTATGTCATGTTTAAAGATCTCCTGTAATGAAAATCCTATAGTGATGTAAAAGAGATTTATGATTCTCAGTAGCATCTGGGGTATGCCCATTAAAGAGAAAATAAGCACTCACATTTTGTGCTGTAGTCTCAGACCTGGGTAATCAAAGCATTTTTATCTCCAAATAGTATCTTGAGTCCTGTTGAAAGTAGTAGAAGTTGGTGGCATCTTTTGGGGAAAAAAATGCATATCTCCCTGGAAAACTCCTTTTATCTGGGCCAAATCAATGCATGTTTATGCTTTATGTATATAATGATAATTCATGTTCATAATGATAACTCCAGGTCACTGCATGATTCTTAAAACACTTTTAGATTTAGAAAAAAAACCTAAACAAAGAAAAACACACATTTAGTATAACTGAATAAATAACATTTGACCTATTGTTCTAAAACTTGGGCATTAATGTTTGGTAGGTATACTGATTTACTAGCCATAGTATTTGTTTACTCAGCACATTTCATCCTCAGCTACCAAAGGTAAGTTATTGTTTTAGGTTGTTTTCCAGTTTCTATTTAGCCTAAGAACTCCACCCAAGTTAGAAAAGAATAAAAATGAGGTAAAAATAAAGCAGCATTATGAAACTTAAAAAAGGGAAAGGTCACACACTAATGCTTTTCCATCCTGGGCACTGGGGACTGGGGTGAAGGCTGGGGGGTCCATTTTCATTATTATCTTTGCATTTACAAACACAGCCTCCGACGTTTAGTATTTGCTTTGAATGAGGAACCGAGAAATAATGTCCAAGATGAGTTCAAAAAGAGGTGAATCTAGTACTTGGTAGCTAAAGTAATAATCCAGTTGGGCTATATTACTCTGGGTATTAAGAAACAATAGCTAATAAGAAGTAGTTTCAGCCAGGCGCCAGTGGCTCATGCCTGTAATCCCAGCACTTTGGGAGGCCGAGGCGGGCAGATCGCCTGAGGTCAGGAGTTTGAGACCAGCCTGGCCGGCATGGTGAAACCCTGTCTCTACTAAAAAGACAAAAACCAGCCAGGCATGGTGGCAGGTGCCTGTAATCCCTAGATACTCAGGAGGCTGAGGCAGGAGAATCACTTGAACTCCGGAGGTGGAGGTTGCAGTGAGCCAAGATAGCACCACTGCACTCCAGCCTGGCCAACAGAGTGAGACTCTGTCTCAAAAAAAGAAAAAAAAAAGGGAAAGTTTCATGATACTGTATAATAACTTGGCTCATACCTTCTTGTCCTGGGAAATCTGTTTATATACATGAAAAGTATATCTCAAGAAGAGTTTCTTCCAGAATGATATAGGCTCTGTAACGCTTCAAAGGATAATCTCTACCAGAATATAAATCCCAACAGTTCTTTCCATATGCCAGATAAAATGTATTTTAGCATTTACTTTGGTCTCTAAAACATTATCTGGGTTGTTCTTGTAGAAATAAGCAAAGACCAACCAAATGAGAACAAGCAAAGGTCATTTATTCAGAGATTGCTTTAGAAAGGGAGTCAGCTACAACAATCACTGTCACTTTTGTTTTGGCAGAGACTCAAAGGCAGGTAGAGAAGTGGAGAAACTTCACAGTAGACAAAGGGAAAGCTTCAGGTATGCCCTAACTGGAGGCTATTGGCATTGGAAAGCTGTAGATGAACTAACCATTAATAGAAGCAGGGCATCTGATGTGATTTATTAGGGGTGCATGTTTAGCTTTTTGTGGTTGATCCTAAGTTGGGAGCAGTGACAAAGATTAGAGAAGATGTGGGTTATTAATGAAGTCCTGACCTTTTGAGGCTGACTGTTCCAGAGGAAATTGTTTGGCTTTCTGGATTGTTACCAGAGATAGCAGTCTGATTTCCTACAAGTCTGACTTATAGGAGGCCAGCTATTATTGATGATGGGTTGGTTTCCTGGGAAGATGACTCCATTTTAGAAGTCAAAGCTCTGTTTTTACATATGATCTGACCACTGTCCATTTGTATATTCAGTCTCTCACTCTATAAAACAAAAGAATGAAAGTTCACATTGTGAGAGGATTGAACTCTTATAAGCATCAGACTTCCATTTGTGAATAGCGTTTTTAGTTTGCAAATGCCTGAAATACATTATCATCAAGATGAGAAAACTTTTAGAAGTCTCAGATTATGGCTTGCTTCCAGTTTGGGCAAGAGATGACTTTAAAACCGAATTTTCATTCAAATAAAGTAACCGTAAATTATAGAAAACATAATTGAAAATATGACAGTATTTGAAAAAGAAGAAAGAAAAAAAGACTACCATATGTTTAAAACTGCCTCTGTAGTTTTATTAATTAAAGAGCATAACTTTTGATTCAAATCCCAATGTGAATGTCTTTTGAAAGATGTAGTAACTATTTCAAGCCACCAGGGTGCACCATTTTGAAAACTGTCTCAGGGATCCTAATGATAATTCTAACAGCCCAAAGGAGTTTGCACATCTTTTTAAGAGCCCTAGCTTCCTCCCAGGGATACAGTGTGAGCCACAAAGATCTACTTTAGTAATAAAGTACCTTTGATTTATGGATTATATCATATTTAATATCCTCAGTTGAATGGTATTCAGCAAGCAGAAAGAGTTATTTTTTTTTCTAGGTGCTAGTACTGACATTTAGCCATGTATAATATACTACCACAATTAACTAAAACATACCGTTCCTGAAATGTGCTATAACCAAATGCACTATATTTTTCATATGATTTGCAATTTCCGTGGAGAGCTCATTTGGATTACGTTTATAATATTCATTTAGCAAACTCCATTAGCAATGTTTACAAGTGCTTATGGATCCAGTAAATGAGTTTGCGGGTATGCCGTGAACGAAGTAAGTTAAATGCATCCATTTGTGTATGGTATCTAATGCATAAACTCATTCCAATCAGGAAGATGTACAGCACATTAAACTGTAACCTGGGAGTCTGGATTTTGATATGGTTCCTACATGGCTCCCTAATATGACTGAATTGATTAACCTTTTGGTTTCTTGATTTTCCCTTAAGGGGAAAACTCATTGAAAAACTAGATTAATATGAGCAGCTGAGCATAAGAATCCTTAGGGGCAAACAAACAAACAAACAAACACACAGAATAGAGAGATGTTGATTCAGTCTTCTCCGCCTTGTAAATTAGATCTTTTAGTGGAAAAGTGTTTTAGCACACTAGGTTTCTAGAATGCTAATGACATTAATAGAAATGTAACTTTCTGAATTATCCTGGCGACCTGAAAAGGTTTCTGCATCTCACAAAAAGGACTAACCTAAAAACTACAAATATGTAGTGTTAAAAATGGTTGAGATGAGAAATTTTGTGTTAGGTGTTTTTGACCACAACAAAAATAAACCCAACAGTAACAAAATAAAACAAAACAAAAACTTGTAGGTGTTCATATTCAGAGTGACTGATTCTTTTGATGGGAAATCTCTAGAGACCCATTAGAAGGGAGAACAAAGGACCTTTGTTAAAGCCTGGTGATCTGCACAAACTATGGATTTCCCAGTTTCTGAGATTTATAGGTTGTTGTTCTCACTAGGTCATGATAGGGGTGGGGATGGGGGACCCGGGGAGACAGTAGGTTAGTGATACCCAGTCCTGTATAGATCTCCTAGGATTAGAAAGAAAGCCTATTTTAATACTAGCTAACATTTAGTGATGCTTACCATAGGCTTTATGCGCTTCACATGTGGCTCTGATCCTCAAAACAATCCTATGGATTTAGGTATTATTATTTTTATCTTCATTTTACAAATGAGGAAACTGAGGCCTAGAGAAATTAAGTAATGTGTCCCAAGGTCACATAGCTACAAAGGGGTAGTGCTAGAATTTGAACTCAGTCTCTTTGTCTCCAGAGCCCTGCTCTTAACCGCTGTATCACAGATAACTGATGTTTTCCCTACAGCTTACATTGAGGTATGTAATTGACTGAAACAGAAGAATCCAAAATCTAGGCTTCATATATTTCAAATGTATGACTTGGGTTACTTGACCATGTTAACCCTCAGTTAGTTGTGCTTTTTGTAGTAGAAGTTCTAATTTTGGCTTACTGAAGATGTGGGATATAATTCCCCATATTGAATCTAATTTAGATCCAGGATCCAGAAATTCAAGTCATCTTTGACATGATAAGAAACTTATCAAACAGTGCCATCCAATGAGAATATATTCTTGTCTTCTTTCAAAATCGAGTTGGGAATTTCAGTTATTATTTAAAATTTTTTTTCACAAATATGGTTTTTTTCTCCTAGAACACAGATGCTCTTAACTCCCTAGCAGTCACCATCTGTACCTCAATTTACATTTCCCCAAACACTGCTGACATCTGTTTAAATGCCAATCTCTCCCCAACTTAGTAGGATTTTAGCTCAAAAGTGATATCCTATGAGTGATTTGGAATTTCAAAATGATACTAATTTTCATCAAAATGCTCAATGGCTACAGATACACAAGCTTCACCTGCCCCTTTGAGAAGGTTTTGGCAAAATGGAGGCTAATATTGAAAGTGATCTGTCATTTCCGGGGAATAGGACTGTTTTACCAGGTTAAAATGTTCATTTATGGGAAAAGGCTCTGAGTTGTCATGAAGAGAATTCTGGGGAATTAAGAATTCTCCTAAATAATCATTCTCTTTTTCTTCTTTCAGGTTCATGCTCCTTTCATACAGAGATGTCTGACTTTCTTCTGTGAATTATCACATGAGAGCATGCACAGAAAATATGTCCGGGGATAGGGACAGTGTGGGAATGCGGCTGAGGTTGGTTGGACAATGGGACTGAGAGATCGTCATGAGCTGTGAGATACTAATTTTTAAAAGAACATACAGAAATTATGCCCCTAAGGGAGTAATGTCTCAGTAATATCAAATCTTTATCCTTTGGAGATAAATTTGATTTTTGGAAAAATCCAAAAGTCATCTGGAATGTAGTATTATTATAAAGTTGGTTTAAGGGAACAATTTTTCTTATGTGGTTCACAAACTGATTCTAAGAAGGCAATTTCAAAAGATGAACTCTAGAAAAATTTTAAACAATGGCGGCATCATGAGACTAAGCAAGTCATCTTTCGAGAAGAATTATTTGTTGGAAGTATAAATTTGGTCTTATTTGTGTTTTGGAGTCAGGTGGATCAGGGCTTTAGATCTGGCTTCATGTATTTCCAGATCTATGACTTGGGTTACTGAACCAGGTGAAGCCTCAGTTCATTTCCTAACCTGTAAGATGAAGATAATTCTAGTATCTATCTTGTGGCATTGTGAAGATTAAAAAATGATAGTGTATGTAAAGTGCTCTGCCCAGTGCCTAGCATATAGTAAATGCTCAATAAAAGTGATGCTAACTCATACCCTCCTTCCTACCCTCAAGGTGGCTATATGGATTCCAGTCAGGAAGAACTTGGAACCATGTTATACCATTTATTTGAGTACTATGGTCCTAGGCAAGTCATCTGACTTTTAGAGTTCTGATGTCCTGCTTTATAAAGTGGATATAATAATACCTCTTTTACCAGATTATCATGAATGTTAGAGATAATGTACATAAAGGATTTAGAGCCATAATTATGATTATTATGGAAAGGAATCTTAGAATAACAACCTTTTAATGGGGACCAGATTGTTCTGTAAAGATAACAAATTTAATATGGTACTAATGCTGGTATTTTAAAACTGACAAAATTCCAAATTGAAACTTGAGATTTTTTCAAGAAGGAAAATATCTCTGGGTATGGCTGCATCACAACTGAATTATTGGTTTCTTGGTTGCAAACCTATAATACAATAGGGAAGCTCATCTCACTCATATCTCCCAGTGGATTTCACAGGATTCCTACTGCTATCAACAAGAGGATTTGGTTAACTATAGAGCCCAGGGAAACATCACTTCCATGGTTAGAAGTTTTTCGTTATGTACAGACCAAGACCTTAGAGAATAGTTTCAGTTGTAAAATAATTAAGTGCATCTTGTAAAATGCAAATAAAAATTTTAATGGAGAAAGGCCATTACTCTGCTCCTCATTTCCGTTATTAAATCTCCCTTAACAAGTGTTTAAGTAATTCTTATAACAGCAACAAAAAAGTCAGAGCCTGTAGCAACATCTCTCTTTCAAGAGGAGAGAATATTCATATTTTCTTTTCATTTTGTTTGGCAAAAATGTCTCAGTTAAAATGAGATGTCTGACTCATTTCTAGAGCCAAATATTTCTGAAATAAAAGTTTGAAGTTACAAAAATAAAAAATTAAAACCCAGTTCAATTCAAAAATAGGCTTATAACTTTCTGATTTCAAACCAAAATGTCTATGAACAAAACTGTGATTAAATACAGTCATACCTTGCAGATATTGTGGGTTCAGGTTCCAGACCACCATAACAAAATATTACAATAAAGTGAATGACACACACATTTTTTGGTTTCCCATTGCCTGTAAAAGTTATGTTTACGATATAGTCTATTAAGTGTGCAAAAGCTTTATGTCTAAAAAATGTAAATACCTGAATTGAAAAATGCTTTATTTCTAAGAAATGCTAATGATCATCTGAGCCATGGCTGCTGACTGATCAGGGTGGTGGTTGCTGAAGGCTGGGGTGGCTGGAGCAATTTCTTAAAATAAGACCACAATGAAGTTTGCTGTATCAGTCAACTCTTCCTTTTATGAAAGATTTCTCTTTAGCATGAGATGCTGTTTGATAGCATTTTACCCACAGTAGAACTTCTTCCAAAATTGGAGTCAGTCCTCTGAAACCATCCTACTGCTTTATCAACTAAGTTTATGGAATATTCTAAATCCTTTTTTGTCATTTCAACAATGTTTATAGCATCTTCATGAGAAGTATCAATACATGCCGTATTAAGAAAGCACTTTCTTTGCTCTTCCCTAAGAAGCAACTTTTCATCCATTCAAATTTTATCATGAGATTGTAGCAATTCTGTCACATTGTCAGGCTCCACTTCCAATTCTCATTCTTTTGCTATTTCCACCACATCTGCATTTACTTCCTCTACTAAAATCTTGAACTCTTCAAAATCATCCATGAGGGTTGGAATCAACTTCTTCCAAACGCCTGTTCATGTTGGTTTTTTGACCTCTTCTCATGAATCATGAATGTTCTTAATGGCATCTAGAATGGTGAATCCTATCCAGAAAGTTTTTGATTTATTTTTCCCATATTCATCAGAGAATCACACCACCCATGACAGCTATAGCCTTAGAAAATAAATTTCTTTTATTTTTATTTTGAATTTTTATTTATTTAATTATTTTTTTGAGACAGGTTCTTGCTCTGTCACCCCGGCTGAAGTGCACGATCATGGCTCACTGTAGCCTTGACCTCCTGGGCTCAAAAGATCCTTCCACCCGAGCCTCCTGAGTAGCTAGGACCACAGGTGCATGCCACCATGCCTGGCTAAGTTTAGTAGAGACAGGATCTCACTATGGTCCCTACGCTGGTCTCAAACTCCTGGCCTCAAGCAATTCTCCCACCTCAGTCTCCCAAAGTGCTATGATTACAGGTGTGAGCCACTGCACCTGGCAAAAATAAATTTCTTACATAGTAAGACTTGAAAATTGAAATTACTTTTGGATTCATGAGCCACAGAATGGATGTTGTGTTAGCAGGCATGAAAACAACATTATTCTCCTTGTACTTCTTCATCAGAGCTCTTGGGTGACTAGGCACATTGTCAGTGAGCAGTAATATTTTGCAAGAGATCTTTTTTTGAAGAGTAGGTCTAAACAGTGGGCTTAAAATATTCAGCAACTATGCTCTAAACAGAAGTTATACCATTCAAACTTTCTTGCTCCATTTGTAAAGTACAGGAAGATTAGATTTAACATAATTCTCAAGGGCCATAGGATCTTCAGAGTGGGAAATGAGCATTGGCTTCAACCAGCTGCATTAGCCCCTAACAAGAGTCAGTCTGTCCTTCGAAGTTTTGAAGTCAGGCATTGACTTCTCCTCGTTAGCTATGAAAGTCCTAGTTGACATCTTCTTCCAATAGAATACTGTTTTGTCTTCACTGAAAATCTGTTGTTTATCATAGCCACCTTCATCAGTGATTTTAGCTAGATCTTCTGGATAACTTGCTGCAGTTTCTACATCGGTACTTGCTGCTTCACTTTGCACTTTCATGTTACGAAGATGGCTTCTTTCCTTAACCTTCAGGAACCAAACTCTGCTAGCTTCAAACTTTTCTTCTGCAGCTTCCTCACCTCTCTGTTTTTATAGAATTGAAGAGAATTGGGCCTCACTCTGGATTAGGCTTTGGCTTAAGGGAATGTTGTAGCTGGTTTGATCTTTCATGTGTATCTCTGAAAGTTTCTCCATATCAGCAATAAGGCTGCTTGGTTTTCTTATCATTTGTATGTTCACAGGACAGTATTTTTAATTTCCTTCAAGAACTTGTCCTTTTCATTCACAACTTGGCTGTTTGGCACAAGAAGCCTAACTCTTGGCCTATCTTGACTTTTGACATACCTTCCTCTCTAAGTAAGCTTAATCATTTCTAGCTTTTGATTTAAATTTGAGAGATGTGTGGCACTTCCTTTCACTTGAACATTTAGAGACCACTGTAGGATTATTAACTGGCCTGATTTCAATATCACTGTGTCACAGTGAACAGGAGGTCCTGAGGAGAGGGAGAGAGATGGATAAATGCGTGGTCAGTGGAACACGTCAGAACACAAACAACATTTATCAAGTTCGCCGTCTTATTTGGATGTGGTTTGTGGTGCCCTGAAACAATCACAACAGTAACATCAAAGATCACTGATCACAAATCACTGTAACAGATATAATAATAATGAAAAAGTCTGAAATACTGTGAGAATTACCAAAATGTGATGCAAAGACATGAAGTGAGCAGATGCTGTTGGAAAAATGGCACCAATAGACTTTCTTGATGCCAGGGGTTGCCACAAATCTCTGATTTGTAAAAAATCCAAAATCTGCAAAGTGAAATAAAGCAAAATGCAATAAAATGGGGTCTACCTATAAGTAGTTTTTTCTAAATAAAGAGTAGAATGTTTTCCTCAAATTGAATATTACAGAGAAGCCTAAATGAGAAATGGATAAAAGCAAGACTACTCTGGTTAAAGAAGGAAGGGAGTGGCCCATTCTCCCCTCTTCTTCTCCTCCTTCTTTCCACCTGCATCTCCCATGATCCTATGACACCATCCCAGAAACCCCAGGGCTCTCAGAATACAGTTTTGGATTAATTGCTCCAGCTATTCCTTTGGTTTCATTATTGCTCCTGTTTTTTTTCTTTCTTTTCTTTTCTTTTTTTTTTTTTAAAAAAAAAAAAAAAGAAGAAAAAGTGGCCTTTGGGCATAGAGCATTAATCCTGTCAACTTCAGTAGGCAGGAGACAGACATGTTTGTATCTGACAGCTCAGTTCTCTCTGCTTTGCCCAGTGTTTGGGAGCAGGATTTCTGAATATAGACAAGTCTTTCTTCAAGTTTGATTGCTGTTGGTGGTAAAGTTTCTCCTGGTTGACTTGGTAGAATTTTTCTAATGACTTTCTATTCAAGAGGACAGGCACTGTAAGTCTTAAAAAGTCGCTGTTCTTATATTTGGTAACACTGGCCATGTTGGTACTTTCTTTTGCCAAACAAAGTACAATGTCAAAGTGGGGATGGGTGGGAACATGATTACCCTAAGAAAGGACACAGACTCTCTGCAGTGTATCCCTTCTAGTTAGGAAGGGATGTTTTGCCCTTGGTAAAGTGACCCCCATAAAGCAGTGGACAGAGAGATGTCCTCACTGCACGGCCTCTGCCTCATGCCCTGTAAAATGTTGATCCCTGCAGATATTTCTTCTGGCATCTTTTAATTGACATCTGGGTTTTAGAATAAAACTGCCAGAAATCATCTCATTCAAGGAGTAAAACTGGAATTGCTGCAAAGCCTGATGACCCCAAACCACAAGGTAGATGGAAATTGCTTGGGATTGATGCTCCATACTAGCCTGCTTGCGTGGGACCTGCTTGACAGAGGAAGGAGAGGCAGGCAGGGAGGGTGAGAAGGGAACAGTGGAGAAGCTGCTGAATGTAAATAATGAGAAGGGCTGTTACCTCTTTAACTCCTGGCCCTGTGTTATTGAAATCAACCAAGTTAAAGCCTAGAGATTTAGAACATAGACCCCAAAGGAGGCAAAAGAAGAAAAAAACTCACAGCAGGGTTCTACAATTCTAACCCCCATGGTTAAGGGGAAGGCAATTCCATTTTCCTTAGGCTATGTGTCTTTGGGCATATTACTTAATCTCCCTCATTAAATCTTGGTTCTCTTAGCTGTAAAGTCAATTCTAGTGTTTCTCAAACTGTCTTGTGTTAAAGAACCAGATTTTCAAAAAAATTTCCAGTCTGTCATAGAGTGATACTTTTATAAAACACAATAAAAATAAATTCCTAGAAGTGTTTAAATGTTTTATTCTTAAATTTGACAGACATAAAATTACTCTCTCAAATTGCTTTTGTTTCTAGACATTTACTCTCAATTACTACAGTATTTGATTGCAGACCAGTAACAGTTTGTGGATTGGTACCAGTATGTGGACTAGACTTTGAGTTGTCATTGGCACAGACACTAATGGCATTCACCTTATAGAGGTATGATGAGGCTCAATAGGATAGTGGAATGGTGCATATATTTGACAATCACTGTCATAATTTAAAAATTTCCTTCTGGTTTAACAAGTAAATCTCTACCTTTGCCAGTCCATAAAAACATGTAGTTTTTTTTAATAAAGTTTTTTTAATATACATACATAGAGAAAAGAAGGGATACATAGTTAATACCAACCTCTCTTAAGAGACTGAGAAATGATGGGTCTCAGGAATACCAGCTGAAGGTTCAAATTCTGCACTCCAATGCACAGGCCAAGAGCAAATCCTCGGACTGCTACTTTTAAAATGGGAGCTGAAAGCAACCAAAACAGGCCCTGAGTTTGGGAAAGAGAGTCATATCTGCAGCACAACCTATCAGCATGTTGCTCCGGTGACTGGGAGGGTTCTGGATTTAACTCCCCTAGCTGGAGCTGTGGGGCAGTTGAGTCGTGCCGTGTTAACACTCAAGCTGGCAGGCACACAGACACGGGTTTGAAAGTGTTCTTATTGTCGATGGGACCATAGATGTGGTTATTTAAACTCCCCAAGCAGGAGGCTGAGGCAGGAGAATGGCGTGAACCCGGGAGGCGGAGCTTGCAGTGAGCCGAGATCGCGCCACTGCACTCCAGCCTGGGCGACAGAGCCAGACTCTGTCTCAAAAAACAAACAAACAAACAAACAACAACAACAACAACAAAAAACTCCCCAAGCTCCGATTTTCTCCTGTGGAAAGTAGGAGCTAGTAATAGTGCCTGTATTTCTTAGTGCTGCAGAACGGATTAAATGATATAATCCCTGTTAGTGTGCAACAATTTAAAAATAACGATAGCTATAAGAGCAGGGTGAACAGCTCAATTTTAGTGGAGCCAAGCTAACACATGGCCAGATTTTCCTTGGCATGATGGTCCGAAGGGGTCAGGAGCATCAGCATAGCCCTTCTCAGACACAGTGGAGAAAAAGAACCCTAAGCCTCAAGCACATCACTTGCAAAAGGCTTCTGACCCTTAAAGTAGGACTTTCCCTATAGCTATGTAGCACTCTCACTCCTTTCCTTCACCCCAGCTGTGAAAGAGATGGTAATAATATGGAAAAATGAATCAAAGTCTTGAATACAGCATCCAAGGTGAGGAAAACTGCAGGGGTTGAACGTGAGTCGGGGAAGCAGGAGCCCACCCCCGCTTTTTTTCCCACCTATGCAATGTGTACCGAATATCTGTGATCAAAATTCTTAACACGATTTCAGAGCATCACTTTCCTTGGTAGAAGACACGCAAAGGCAGGCACAGAGATTGAGGAGTGATCTGACTCCTCATTTGTAAGAGCCCGAGTAACACTCCGTAATGAATTTGGTATTTACTGATACAGCAATGCATTCATCTGGCATTAATGGGCAGGGCCAATGTATAGTCATAGTCATTTTATTTAAATTCAAGCTTTGGTACAAGGCAACTAAACTGCTGCAGAAGGAAAGTGATATGCCAATTTCAAAGGTACTTATTATCATACCATCTCATAGGTAAAAAAGATAAAAAAAATATTAAAAAATAGGATGAAACTCTATGCACTAACCAGTAATGACAATAATGATGCTACTAATAATACACTTTATTGGAAGGCACAATTAGTGAAGGAGGTTTCCTAAAAAGGTGTCAGCCACACGGGTGAATTTAGGCTGCAAGGTGGACCAAACTGTCTTCTAAATACTTCTCCTGACTTATACAATTGTGAGGGAACTCTCACTGGATGTGGGTTCCATAGATCTCAATCCCCACAACCCCCTCTTTTCTAGACTCTTCTCTACTTTCTTCTGGTACCCTCAGGCCAGGTAGTGTCTCATGTGTGTCTTGGAAAGAGCCACCTGTGATGTTTTTGTCTCCTCATCAATGGACCTTGACACTGTCTCTGTCCTGGGGGCCCCTATAAGCATGTTGCCCTGGTGGCACAATTTTCCTTCCCTGGAGGCTGTCCTGACTCTACAGCCTGCAGTCTATGACAGAGTTGGGGTAATAGTTCTCTATCACAGTCTTTCGTAAATACATACCCCTTTGTTTCTTAAGTTAACCTCTGTCTTATAGGGACTCAAAATAAGTCCATCTGGTCAGGTTTTGTGTGTATGTGGCAGAAAGGCAGATGAGGATACAACCATGCACTCCCTGTATTGAGCTCACCTGACTCCTCCCCAGGGGCCCTCCACAAACCTTCCATGAATATTACTCATGCAAATAAACATTGGTGAAGTGGAGAGGGTTATCCAGTTCTACTCACCAGATGCATCCTGGATCCTAGCTCCAGTCCAGAAAAGAGTAACCCTAGGATGAAAAGCCAATCATCTATACCTTCACATGAATGAGTTTTAAAGATTTTTTTCTAGGGACACGGTTGTATAGGAGAGGACCTGGAGAATATGGGTCACCTGAGATGGAAAATATTGGGATGGAGTGGCCAGATGTTGAGACTATCACAACAAAGTTTGATGACTTCTACAGATGTACACTAAGATAGCCCTGCTCACTCTCACTATTGGCAACATTTAAGACAAGCCAAGTCTTAAATTTTCGGATAACAGTAGCTAAAAGAGACCAAATACTGAAAGGAAAAATCAGAAGTCCAAGTATTTTCATGCAAGTCAGCCACTGCATGCATTCTGCTTTGGCGTTTGACATTTCTAACAATGAGTCTGAATTAAGACCTTTGAAAAATTGAAATGAAAATCCCTAGTCGGAGAATGATTACTGATCATTTGCCAATTATAAGCAATGTTCTCTCAAAGGATAGTCACGCCTTTCTACTTTTCATGCCTGTGACTTAATATATTTTGTCTTGTCTGAAGGTATTTTTCAGAGAGAGATTGCAAAAGATTCCCGTAGTTTGACTCTGAAGAGAATACCATGGCCATTCTCTGAAATCAGCTGATATCCAGGTCACTTCTGCTTTAGTCTTGTTTCCATGGGGAACAGGTGAAGAAGGAGGTTGGGATGTGAGGACTAGAAAGGACTTGTTTAACCTGGCATGTGTCTCACCTAGAGTTGCTTGGCCTAACTCTGTCATTTCCAATGAAGTGAATCCAGGAGGCTGTGCAGACATCCAGAGACATAAGTACAGTCAGGGTGAGGGGTCTCTTTACTTTGCCATCACAAGGGCTCCTTAAAACCTAGTTTCTTCCCCTTGGGGACTCACACTTCAACAACTTTGTTTACCAAATAGCACTTACAAAGTAATAATTGCTTCGTTTTGCTTGTTTATTAAGATAAGCTGGAGATAACTGCCAAACAGAGTTTTTGATTGATGTATGATAACCAGTGTTATTGATTTGATGTAATGCCAAGTTAAAGCAAAAAGAAAGAAAACCTGGTGTGTGTATTTATATTTATTTTAGTTAGATGTATAGTTTCAATTTGGCTTTCAAAATAGTAAAATAACTCACAGATACTTGTTACTGTCTTTACTCAATTTTTAAGGAACATCAAAATTTAGGAGTGCAGGATGAAAAAAACTTTCTGGTTTCTACCAGGTTTGAGGAAGTATGGAGAGCTATGTCATACCTTTGGAGACTCTTCTAGAGGGGCTTCCAGACTTTCACCAACATTTTAGGATTCTATCCAAAGATCCAAAAACTATTTTTAAGCAACTAGCCAGACTGATTGTTCAGCTAACTCCCCTTTAAACTATCCTGTTCACTTAAGTTTTGAGTCTTGACCCCACAGAGAGAATATTAGGTTAATATTAGGTTAATTCTACCCAACATGAGCGAGCTCGAGGACCTGAGTCGTCTGTGTAACAACTTCCAGACAAGCCCTCATTCATCAATCTCTTAGCAAAAAGAAAATTGTATTGAAATGTAGGGGCCCAAGGAAATATGGGGTAGGATAGAGGTGGCATGTCAGCCACTTTCATAGGCACCTAGTGTCGGTCCTCATCTACACTTGCCAAGTAGAAGAGTGAAAATAAAACGAATGAGTTCAGCAGTTTTCCTCCATGGGGGAGTTGTCTGTTAAGATATTTGTACCTTATGACCAGCTTCGAGGACATTCATCTACTCGTATATACCTATAGAATCTTATGTCATCTTTAAAGTGAGGATGGAAGCAGGATAGGAAGTGGAAAAGTAACTTGCATCATGGTATTTTAAAGAGGAAAGTAGAACCCTGGATTCATTAGATACTCATCCTTTGTACTGAACTGAAGCATATGAGAGACTTCCAATATGAGTGGTTCACGTAATATATATATATATATATATATATATATATATATATATATATATATATATATATATAAATGGGCAAATACACATAGAAGACATTTCAGAAGGGATGGTGGCTTAACTGCCTATTTAAACCAAACATACATTTGATTGTTTTTAAATATTGATGTCTTTGCTGTTATTACAAAACACTGAGTAGGAGTTCACACAAGGAGGGCGACATGTGAATGTGTCAAGCTAATGTCAAAACAACAGCCTTGAGCAGCAGTGCAGTCTGACAGGTTCAGAGCAGAGTGACTGCTGACTGGACCACTCCGAGGCTGAATGAGGTCTCTCCTCATAAAGACTTTGCTCTTTTCCTGGGAGTCTGCAGCCTGGAGTTATGTCAGACTTCACTGATTCTATCTCTGTGTAGAGAGGGAGGGCATGAACTTTGCCAACAGGAAGAATGAATATGTATAATGTTTTTCTTTGGATCAGACTGACTGCGACCTCTGTTGAGAGGGGTTTTGTGGCAGCGTGCTTGACTTTCACAGGAAGAGGCCTGCCGGATAAAACATCTAGGTTGCACCTCTCATGCAAGGACAATCAACCTGCCAGTGCTGATCCGCTTTCAGTGCCATCCTTTTTTTTTTTTTTTTTTTTTTTTTTTACCGTATGGCACTAAAAAGGCTGTTTCCTTTGCCTAGAATAATCTCCATACCCCCTTTGAACTGGTCCTGTCTGCTGTCTACCCTTGTACTTGCTAAAGTGAACTAAATATAGCCTGGAAAGGACTCCATACTTCTGTATTTGAGTCCCTGTGGATGAACTGTAACCTAACTTAATAGGTAGACAAAATTGAAAACCTAATTTAGGAGTATGTGCCTGTAACAACAGCTAATTCTCGGCCAATCCCAGCAGCCATGCTTCAACCACTCATATACGGCTGAGTGTTCAAACTGTGTTCAAATAAGGCAAACGCTGAGCTATAACCAATCTAGCTGTTTCAGTACCTCACCTCCGACTTCTGTACGTCACTTTCCTTTTTTTTTTGTCTGTAAATTTGTTCTGACCATGAGGCATCCCTGGAGTCCCTCTGAATATGCTGTGATTCTGGGGGCTGCCCAATTCACAAATCATTTTCTTTCCTTGCTCAATTAAACTCTGTTAAATTTAATTTGTCTGAAGTTTTCTTTTAACAGATCAAATGTTGTTTCCTTGGTGGGGGCCTTCATTGACTTCCCAAACTCACTCTCTCATTCTGTGTGTGTGTGTTTGTGTGTGTGTGTGTGTCTGCGTGTACAATGACCCTTTAACAACACAGGTTTGAGCTGCACAGGCCCACTTATTTTTTCATGGATTTTTTTTTCAGTAAATATATTGGAAAATTGGAGATTTGCAACAATTTGAAAAAACTTACAGAAGAACTTGTATAGCCTGAAAATATTGAAAAATTGAAGAAAAGGTATACCATGAATGCACAAAATATATGTGGCTACTCATCTATTTTATCATTTACTATCATTAAATGTACGCAAATCCATTATAAAAAGTTTAAATTTAGCAAAACTTACATAACACAGACCATAGTTAGTGCCATTCCCAGTTGAGAGAAATGTAAACAGAGGTAAAGATGTAGTATTAAATCATACCTGCATTTATTAACTGTAGCAGATACTATTGTGTTGTAATAATTTTGTAGCCACCTTCAGTTCCCATTGTGGTGAGCTCAAGTGTTGCCAGTATCTGCCTAAAACACCATGTGACATTAATCATGCATGAGCGTTCATCTCTGTAGTTAATCGTGTATCACAGTAAAAAGTGATCTCTCAAGGTTTTACACATTCTTCAAATCTTGTATAGTGCAATATCATAAACCTTGAATAACACCATGGGTTCCATGTAAAGTGCCACTGGTGATACTGGAAGTGCTCCCGAGAAGCAGAGAAAAGTCATGCCATTACAAGAGAAAGCTGAATTGCTTGTTATGTACCATGGACTGAGGTCTGCAGCTGTGGTTGCCCACCATTTAAGATAAGTGAATCAAATGTAAGGACCACTGTAAAAAGATAAAAGGAAACTCATGAAACTGCCACTGCAGCTACATCAGTAGGTACAAAACCCTCGCACTTTTTGCAAAATACCTTTTTATCTCATATTGGAAATGCAGCTTGTATGTGGGTGCAGATTTACCATAAGAAAGGCATATCTATAGACTCTAATGTGATTCAAGAAAGAGTTAAGTCATTATATGACAACTTAAAGCAAAGGAAGGTGAAGAATTTACCACATCTAAAGCTGGATAATTTAATTTCAGCAAAGGATGGTTTGATAATTTTAGAAAGGATGTGGCTTTTAAAAAGGTCAAGTAACAGGAGATTCAGCTTTTGCCAACAAGAGGCAGTAGACAAGTTCCCAGACACCATTAAGAAAATCGCTGAGGAGAAAGGATATATACCTGAAAAGGTTTGAATGCAGATAAAAATGACCTCAGGTGGGTGTGAGCTTAGCAAGAGGACCAGTGTGGTTGGAGAGTGGGCAGGAGTATGAGATAAAGGTGAGGTGTTTTAATAGGGATGTGACCTGATCTAATTTTGTTTTAAAAGTATCACTTTGCTGGCTGCATTGCATTGACTATCAGGGTGGGAAAGGAGGGATAAGTGGAAGCAGAGGCCAGTTAGGAAGGCATTGCTACAGTTTAGTGTGACATTAAAGCAGGATATTTCCCTGAACCCTTTGCGGGACTCACAGCAGGGGTGCCTCGTTTACCCAGTCCACAGCTTTCAACTTCTTGCGGAAGGGAGTTTGAGAGTGAACAAGGTGGGAACTGGAGTGCATGAATGCTGGAACCAGCTGGCTGCTTTGGTTCTGGCAGGGGAGAACTCCACTCACCCAGACCCATTGCATTCCACCCCTCATGGGAGGGAACATACATGTAAGCAGGTGCAGGAGCCAGGGTGAGCACTTTTGGGCACTGGCAGGAGCAAACTTTGTGTGGGCCCCACAGCAGCATCTGGGGGCATGGTGCTCAGGACCTCTGAAGCCCTAGAGGGAGTGTTACAGTGCTCTGTTAGCTCTGCCATCCATGGATGGCTTAAGTGTTAACAGCTCAGTGGATCCTCTTCCTTTTCATGTCAGGTGGCTGCCATCCACCAGCAAGGGCAGAGGGTCAGTGTGACCACCTTTTGCATCCACACTTCTGGCTCCTGAATTCTTGTCCTGCATCCAGGAAAAATGAGGTCACAAGAATGAATTGAAGGATAGTAAATTTGGGCTGATGGAAATGGCTCTCAGTGGGAAGGGAAGCTGAAAAGGGGACAGGGTGGGAAGGTAATCTTCCCCTGAAGTCTGGCTACCTCTGGTCAAATTCTTTTCTGAAGTTATGCCATCAAGCTGTCCCTCTGAAGTCAAGCCACTTCTCTCTGATGTGCAGCCATAGTGTCCAACATCCAGCTGCTTCTCCTCTCTGCCAGCTGAGCCTAGGGTCTTTATAGGCACAGGATGGGGGCAGAGTGGGCCATGGATTGTTTTGGAAAAGGCAACATTCAAGCAGGAAAACAGGGATGTAAGTGCTCAATTTAGACTGTGGTCTCAGGCGTTTTGGCTTGAGGGTGGGGCTTCACCAGGGGATGCACCCTTTTCTGCCTAGAATTTCTTTGCCTCTTGTCCCTATCATTATGATGATGGCTTGGACTTGGTTGGTAGAAGAAAAGGCAGGGATGAGAGTTAGGATTTGGGACATATATTAAAGATGGAGCTAACAGAACTTTCTGATTGATGTGGATGTGGAGTATGTGTGAGACAGAAATAGGCAATGAGGCGGAAGTTTTGGGTCCAAGCAACTCAGAGAACAGTGTTGCCATTTACACAGGTGAGAACCTTGGGAGAGGAGCAGGTTGGAGTAGGAAATCAAGATTTCTGTTTTGGATGTGTTGACTTGAAATGTGTGTTAGATATCTAAATGAAGAGACTGAGAGGGTGAGTGAATATACATGTCCAGAACTCAAGGGAGAGGCCTATCCTGGAGTTGTAGACTGACTTGGGAGACCTGCTATAAGAGGTGATCATTTTGGAAGCATGCAGGGATATGAAGAGAAGAGTGCCAAGGACTGAGCTCTTGGGCACACCATTCCTTAGGGTTGAATAGCAGACAAGGATCCAAAAAAAAGAGATTGAAAAAGAGTGTCTGGAGGTAGGAAAAATAGTTGGAGAGTTTGGTGGTTAGGAGCTTGGGGAAGAAAGTATGCTAAGATGTAGGGGGAGACTGTCTCTGTCTGCAGCTGAATGAATGAATGAATCTCTATGGTCTATGAAGCGCATAAGGGTTTTAAGGCATGATATTAGGTTTCTGTGCCTGATTGGAGAGAGAAGGCAGTCATGTTTGACTGCTTAGAGTATTCTTTGAGAGTCAGAGTGGAGAAACAGGCTAGAGATAGAAGGAAGAGAATATTTTCCCCCTTCTGGGATTAGTCACCTCATATTCAATGAGAAAAGCAAGAAAATTTGTTTGTTTCAGTAGCTATGGAGCATATTATGTACCAGACACTATTGAATTCTCAAAATTATAATTTTGATTTATCTCAGAAAATCTAGTGTTCAGGGCAGTTTTGTATGTTTCCCCATCTCCTGTTCCATCATAAGAAGCCTATGCAACTTAAGGACCTTGAACACTGGAAAAAAGGGAGGGTCTTCTTAGAAATAAATCATACAAGGGAAAGAAATCTGATATTCAGAGTTTTAAAGCAAGATTAGTAAAAAATCAAGAACAGAGTCATATCTTGTAGAATATGGGGATGATGGAGGATAGAACATTGTCAGGAGCTAACATTTATTGAGGACTTACTATGTGCCAAGCACTTTTTAGATACATAGCATGTATGTATTTAATATTTATAATAACATAAAACATAGGTACTATTACTGCTATCCTAAGTGAGGAAAGTGTCATATTGAAAGATTAAAAATTTGTTCTAAAATAAATAGGTTGTAAGTGATTGAAGCAGGATTCAGATCTAGCTGCCTGGCTCGAGAGCCCACATGCATAATCATGTCCCATTGCCTCTGGTAACTCCACGGGACAACCTCCAAAAGAAGCAGCATGAAACGGTGTTGACTAGGAGTTCCAGTTGAAGGTCAGGAGAATGGTGACAGCTGCGATGGAGGTAGAACAAAAACCTGTGAGATCTGACAGCAGAGAAGACCAGAAAATTTTTTCAATGAATAAATATCTGTGACTGGGTGAGTGCCGTGTGTGTGTGCATGCATGTTGGTGTGTAAATGTGTATATATGTGTATGTGTAGGTGTTTTGCATATGTGTGTGTATGTTTGTGTGTATATGTGAAAATATGTGCATGTTTGCATGTACATGTATATATATGTGTGTGTATACATTTGTGTGTTTGTGTTTGTGTATGAGCATGTTATGGGAGAAGCAGCAAAGTCTATCCACACCTGTCAAGGTGTTTTAGCAATTCTACCAGCTGCTCTGCCTAATATGTTCTCCAGGGCTTTGAAGACCTACAGACTTCTCCAAGGAGGCAGAGTGGTGACAGTTGAACTTTTGTGTTACATGTGTAAGGGTTTCTCTGAGACAGGTATAATACTGAAAGCTTGGTCCATCTTGCTCTTTTTCCTGAAAACCTATTAAGCATGGTCCACAAAAAATACCTGTGCAGTTGTATTTTGATGTAGTTATCAAACCAGTAGGTTGATAAGGTTGATAAGAAAGAAGGTAGAAAGAATAACAGGAAGTTCCATATAAAGGAGAAACAAGAGGAATTGTCATCATCCCTCCTACAACTGTCTACCCCATTATTCTATTGCCATTTACTGAGTCATTCTCTCACTATGACTGACCGGGGTGGATATGGTCCACCTACCTGAGATCTTAGAAGCAAGGCCTGCTTCTTCATTTCTGTTGCCAAGAGGTCTGCCTGCCTTCTCTTATCTTCTTCTCAGTCAGATTGTGGAGAGAGGATATGAGGCCTCAGAAGACTAGTTGCAGCTAAAGAAGGCTCTATTGTCATATTAAAGATCAAAATTATGGCTGCCTCATGAATGCATAAACAGAAAAAAAAACACTCGGCTATTTACTTTTTTTAAACACGAAAATGAGCTATATTGCTAACTAAATAAGTGTTACCAGAATTCAAATAGGTGATAATTGCAAAAGAAGTCTAAATGGGCTCTCATTTTGCATTGAAGAGTGAAAAAGTCATTGGTGTTTCAGAATCATGGAGCATCTAACCCTTTGTCTTCCCGTGTGCAGAAGAATATTTTGGAATTCTAAAAAGCCTGACCCAAAATGACAGTCACTGTTTACTTAGGGTTGAACTGGGCTAGTCCGTCTAACATTCCCCATGTTTATGTTCATACATGGCCTTACTTAAGCCTCTGGGGATATTCAGAAAGCAATAACTGCATTATCTAAACGCATCTGCTTCAATATGCTGGGCAAGCCCTGGCTGGTGGATGCCTTACTCTATGGGATCCCGAACAAAACTCTTAACAGCAAATACCTCACGTAGACCAGCCATCTTTCATATGATTCAACTGACCCTTACTGGACTCCAGCTTGATAGATGCATAGCACTGTCCTAGTCCTTGCACAGCGTATACAGTCCCTGTCTAGTATAAGGCAGAATGTGAACTGTAACATAGGAACATACTGAGTGCATTGAGGGTTATGTGTAGTGATAGGAGTATGCTAAGAGTATTCATATATTTGATAATATCCTGTAATGATGAACCTATAACATGAGAGCAAAGGTGAGGCTTCAGATATACTTGGTCCGTAATAAATAGCATTGGATTAATATCTCATGCAAAATCTGGACCCCAGTTGTTTCTCTAACCTAATATTAGTTAGCATTTTTGAATGCTTACTATATGTTAGGGTCTGTCCTCAGTGGCTTATAATGGAGTATTTCATTGATTTCTCCTGCTATATGAGGTAGAAACTGTTATCAGTCCTGTTCACAATTGAAGAACATACTTAGAGAGATGAGGTCCCTTTTCCAAGGCCATTTAATGGTAATGATGAAGGTGCAGTTAAATCCTGGGTCTGACTTACTCTAAAGGAACTCTGTTAGTATGTTCCCACGTCTGTATATTTGCAGTGAATACACCAAGATACACTGATCCCTAGTTTATAACATATTCTGTCCCAGGAAGGCTGGTCAGAGTTGTGATCCCAAACTATTTTTTTCTCATATTACAAAAGATATAATTAAATTGTCCGAGGCCAAGATTTTTAATTGCAGTATTGGTGCCAGAGGTGATTTTATGCTCGAAACGGCAGGGTCAAAAGCATGAGCTAGATGTGAGACACTGGTTTTGTCGCAGGTTTTTTTACAACCTATTCTTGCAGAACATCAGAATTCTGGAAGAGGTAGGGCATGGTAGCTAACTAATAACGAAAGAAAAGTCTCATAACCCCTTTCAATTAATAAAATTTAGATCTTCTAATATGTTTAAAGTAAATCAAAAGTCATTTAAAAAGTACATTCTGAACATGAAGACTTGGAAGGATCTCCACTGGAAAAGTATTGCAGTCTGAGATTTGGACTGACTGAATACCATCATTTATAAAATGGTGATTTGGTTTATAAGCCAGGCTTCTCACTGGCTCAAGCAGAAATTACAAGGCAATTGCTCAACCTTTTCAAAAAAAGGTGGTCTTTGGTCTGGCTGAAAGTCAGTCAACTGGAATTTGGATTTTCACTTTGCTACTGAGTTGTGTCATTTTGTCTCTGCTTCTTCCTCCAATGGTTATGAGGGCATTCTAACTGTGACACTGCAAATCATGGTTTATTCTGTGTAGGTCATTCACTGCTTCATGTGTGTCTTCCACTGAGAGGAAGAGCGTCCTGTGGCCAAAGCCAGCTCTGAAATGGGAAAATAGTCCCTGTCCACCCACCATATTGTTGGGAGTTTTCAGTGAGATAGTGGATAGGAAAGCACTTTAGCTAAAAGTGTACTTACCGTGGGGCTAGGCACACTGCCTGTACTAATTTATACTTATATAGCATCTTCACAGATTTATGTAGTTTGATTCTCACAACTCCTTAAATAGAAAATGAGATACTATTAAACCTATTTTATAGATGGAGAAACCGAGGCACAGAGTGATTATGTGACCATTGGCAATTGTAGAATAAATTGGCAGAATCAAAATTAAACCACCACTCTCCTGACTTGCCGCCAGGCATTTTCCCCTCTAAACATGATCTGTTATTATTTTGCTCTGATTCCCAGCATAATAGAGAACAAATACATTGAAAGTTTTTAAAAAATAGTTTTTCAAATGGCCTAAATAAAAACCCTCAAACCTTCTCTCCCTCCATTTAGAGTAGATTTTTTTTGGAGACTCAGATTTATTGGGAAAAAATAGGGTGATTCAGGAGGTAATTCCTCTTGGCATTTGATTTTAATTTTTGGTGGGCAATTGCATTTTTCTTTGCTCTGCAGTAGAAAAATATTACTATTGTAACTGAGGGTTGCAAATGTGAAAACAGGCTCTCAAATGAAAATTGTATGGGGCACTTAGCATTCTGAAAAATATTTGAGTCATTATGTTGCAGTTCTAAAATTGAATCAATGCTATATTTAATACAGCACAACAGGCCATGAATTATTGCACATTAATTCATACCCAGTGTGTTGCTATGCACATGGCTAAAAGCCGAGTGCAGTCAATGCAACTAAACATGAATACACCATAATTCACACACCAGAGGGTCCCGCTGTAATTATAAAATGCTATTATGAAGGATTATTTAAAAAGTATTTAGATATGTTAAGTTTTATACCTACATGATTCATGATCTATGGTATTCTCATAAATTTAGCAGCTCACTCCCTTTTTCTCAATCCCACACCTCCAAGATTTACATGTTAAATCCTAGACCACCAGTTTTCTCATCAGTAGGCTCCCTAAGGCTACAAATGTTATTCTGTCGATTTCAGTTTTCATTTGGGGAGAAACAGAACTTTCTCATAGGCAAGAAGTGTCATGTCAAGCTGTGTGGAGCAACACTTAAAATAGGGGGTAATAGAGAAGTGTAGACATCCTACTGCAGTTGCCTGGAGACAGAATTATAGTCAGGCTGGAGGGTGTGGCTGGGCTTTCTCTCCCCAGGTGGATGCTACTGGTGCTGAGGGGACTGGAAAATGGAAGGAAGCCCTGATGCTGGTTCCAGATGTTGCAAGGACAAGGAGAGTGGGTGAGAATAAATTAAAGTAGAGAGTGCTCTGGTCTGCCTTTATTTTTAGCTTCACAAACTATGGTTTGTGGTAGGAAGATTGCATTTAGTATTGGTAATTGCAGATGAGGAACTTTTGGGAAAATCCAACTTATTCTGAAAATATTTATACAGTGCTTCCTCCAAACTATCTGGGCATCATTTCCAGTGACCCAGAAGTGTGGTGGAGACTGGTAGTATTCTACAGCCAAGATTTCTGAGTCCTCCCACCAAGGGGCACTAACCCTCACACCTAAACATGATGTGAAGTAAACACTGGGGTAAAGCATGCAATAAAAGTTCATTTTTACATAATATCTAAAAGCCATGGTATTTATGAAAGGAAAAAATGGTTGACTGGTTCTTAGGAGATGTTTACGCTCTTATTAATACATGTGTAGCTGATGGTAAAATGGGTAAAAGGAGAAAAATTGATGTTTTACTGCTAATCATTTGTCAAATAAAATTTCTTTTCTATAATTGTATATAAAAAAAGTGCCAACCTCTATTTTTCCTGAAAGTCTATGTTGTTCTCACCCTCCCCCATTAAATTGTGATTTTTATAATCTATATTATTAAAGTGCATTATAAGCTTGATAAGGCATGGTATTAACATAATAGCCAGGCTTAAATACCATTAAAAGTCAAACAAGAGCCGGGCACAGTGGCTCACGTCTGTAATCCCAACACTTTGGGAGCCTGAGGCAGGCAGATCACCTAGGTCAGGAGTTCGAGACCAGCCTGGCCAACATGGTGAAACCCCATCTCTACTAAAAATACAAAAATTAGCCAGGCGTGGTGGCATGTGCCTGTAATCCCAGCTACTCGGGAGTCTGAGGCAGGAGAATCATTTGAATCCGGGAGGCAGAGGTTGCAGTGAGCTGAGACGGTGCCACTGCACTCCAGCCTCGGTGATAGAGTGATACTCTGTTTAAATAAATAAATAAATAAATAAATAAATAAAAGTTAAACGAGAAAGAATTTTGTTAAAAATTAATTAACTGAGTTTAATTTACATTTCTACTACCAAGACTACTTGTAAGAGCTTCCACCTTGATTAGAGTCTTTAGTAAATAAAAATATGCTCAAATGTTATGAGAGTGTTTGATTTGCTTGAGTGTTGTAGGAAATTATTGGCCAAGGCATTTATCTATTAAGACTAAGGATGAAAAAGTGAACTTTATTAAACAACAAGCCTATAGATACAAGTTACAGAGCTATGCTGTCTTGGTCATGCATTCGCTAGTTGTGATTTTTAATGGTAGATATTGTATTGAAATTTCAGCCATACTAAAACATGTTAAAAATGATTTAAGATCCCTAATAATTTACAAATAAGAACACCATGCTATGTTGCTGTTTTTGTTCTCAATCTAATGTAGTGGTTCTCAGACTTCTACAGAGCATCAGAATCACCAGAGGGGCTTATTAAAATACAGATTGCTGGGCCCCATTTCTGGAGGTTCTGATTCAGCAGATCTGAATGGGGCTCAAGAATGTGGAAACTAACAAGTTTCCAGGTGATGTTGATGCTGCTGGTGCAGGGCCACATTTTGAAAACCACTAATGGATTTTTTTTGAATTACAATTACTATTTTCTTTGATAATTAGCATACAAGCGGGTATTTGTGGAGACTGGCAGAGATAAATTTGAGTCCGTGATTTATTTACTTCATGACTAATAGTGCAAGTTAATAGATCTAGATTGAAAGAAGAATGTTCGACATAGGATCCCTTCCAAATTCTTGCCCCTTATGGGCATTAATAGTTTGAAGGCTTTCAATCACAACGCATACGCGGGCAGTTCCTGGTTTACGAATGGCTTGTTTTCCAAAGTTTGTTGTTTCTTTTTGTATGTTCCATAGATGGCAGAACTAACTAATGGGGGAAAAATCCTATCAAATCTATATCTGTCTGAACCACAGTACCAGTTGAACTCTTATTTTCCAGTACTTGTAAGGAAATGCGTGTCCCAAGTGAATAATAATTAAAATTTATAAAGCAACTGAAAATCTTCAAAGTGCGTTCGTATGTATCATCTCATTTAATCCTCCACAATAATCGCATGAGAAAGCTCTTTAATATAATAACTTTAAAGATACGTTCTGCCTAAGATTGTATAATGGAATCAGGATTGCTGTGCAGGGTTTGTGGACTCTAGACCTTGTGCTCTTTCCACTTGCCATGTTACTTCTAAGGACCACCTAAAACCCTGAGACTCTGGGGACATATGGCTGTGCCTGACAACACCAACTTCTGAAGCTAACATGTTTTTGACCTGAATTTCCTGGGCTTAGCACCTGTTGATCTTGGAAAGAGGACCTACTCGTCCCTTGTGTCTTAATCCTTGACACTTTTCTACTTTAACTGTCCTTACTGGATTTGACTTCTGACTTACCGGGGTAACTTTCATTTCTCTTTGGCATTTCAGGTCCCATTGTAACTTAAGAAGTGTTTAGAAAAAGGCTCAGATTTCAGGCCATGAGCTTCTTTGCCTTTTAGTTTCTAAGTTAGAAAATCTGCTGAATAAATTTATCCTTGAGGTTCATGGTACACATATAGTGATAAAGAAGACTGAATAAAACCTCTTTTTGAAAAGCAGATTATCTCACACTTAATGTCAACAGGGCTTCTCCAGCTTTGATTTGGAAACTTGATTAGGCAGGTGGACTAGCTAGATTTCTGGTGATTGATGAATTTAGGGAAAAGCCAGATCGTCAGGATTAAGGCAATATGTGAGTTCCCAGTCTTAATCCAGGGCACCAATGTATAAACATGTGGTTTGCAGGTCCTTTTAGATATAGCTATTAGTCAATCAAACATGGAGCAATATCAGGTGCTGGGTGTCAGCTGAGGATGCCAATCTCACAAGGTACATTCCTGGCCTTAAGAAGACTCGAGGTCGACAGTCATCAAAGCTACTTTAAAATACACATATATACTTCTTGGGTCCTGTAGACATGACTTAATCTTCAGTTGTCCAAGGTGCCAGTTTTTCACGTGCAATGCTAGAAGATAAGTGAGGCACCCAGCAGCCTCGATTAGCACAAATATAGGTATAGACCATTAAAATGAAGAAGAGCATGTGGCATGTCTCTCTGACTAAAGAAATGCCAGTGATGAAGGCAGAGTGGTGCCACCAGAAACAAGGGGGCTGAGGTCACCTTTGGGCTCATGGAGAGTTAATATTAGCCCTCTTCAGACATGAAAAATAATAATTAAACACTGCTTGTCAATTAATGCCAGCTTAAAGGAAGGCCTGCACTTAGATTAAGCGAGGAGCATGGGTTTCTTGAAAACAGTGAGAAAGGAGGAGGGAAAAGGGTATAAAGTAATGGAAGAGATAAGGTGAAAAGGAGAATAATTAAACACACATGTACTTTTCACAGAGTTGGGGCACTCATATTTCTAATTAGAATTTCAATGCAGGAGCCCAATTTAACCTTAGGGAGTCTTTATACTCATGTCACTGTTGTACACAGCAATCAATCCAACTCTGGCATCTTACTTGCACGTTGAATTTTTATATTACATTAGTGGAGCCCCAGTCTCTTTGTATCTTTAATGGATATTTTCTTGTTAGAGCTTTAGTATGTGTTTTGTCTTCTAGAAAATTCTATGCTGAGAGGAACAATAGCCATTTAGACACTGGAATTCAAAAGAGTCACTGGCTTCCTAACATTAACCCATTTCTTCCTTGACAAATGCAGTCATGGTACTTTTGGAATAATTTTCTATCATATCCGCTTGAGTAAATTTAGGGGAATAATCAATGTATGTTCACAAAAACAGCCTGGTGCACCAGGCAGCAGATGGTAAAGAAAGGAATCCAGAATTCTGTCTCCTGCAACTGGATGGTTAACAAGCCACTTTGTAGATTAGTGCCTCTCAAATCTCCCAAGTTTTGACTTTGTCTTCCCCTTCTATTGTCCTCAGAAGACTTATATTTAACTACTCTAATTCTGGAAAATATTTTTGAACCATAGCCTCTTGCTCTATATAAATAAAGAGTCGGTAGTTCTAGTCCTTTGCCTTATCAAATGGGACACTGCGACCAGAGAAGTTAAATATTTTGCACCAAATCAAATGGTTCAGCAGGAAATGATTTTAACTCATACCCTGTAATGTAGAACTCAGCTCATCATTAACTCTTCTTGGGCAGCAATTTATTACCTCCACACTCTTCCTTTTTGGACAAGCCCTAATATAACACTCCTATATTGAGTCAGAAGTGAGTAGTATCCAGGCTTATAGTTTGTCAACAGTATCAGTAAGAGGGTATTTTATCTTGACTCCAACTTCTTCAAAGTCTTAAATTTCACCTGAGCTCTCAGAAACTAAATGGTTGTGGCCTGTCTGTCTCATTATATGCATGGTTTTGTCAGGCCAGAATCAGTAACTGTTATAGACTCTCAGTGAGCCTGCCGACTCAGAGGAAATACAATGATAATCCACAGAGAGGTGCATCCTATGCACCTGGATACCACCCATGGATATAGAGCGAAAGATTGTGAATCAGGGTACAGATGGGAACTGATGGGGAGATTGGCATTGAACCCAAGACATCCTTAATTTCTCAATATCTCTATAAAAGAAACATTGACCATTGCCTGGAAACGTGGGCAGGGAAGCCAGGCACAGGAGGGCTTGTGTTGGAGCATACTCTGTTGGGATTTGTGAGGGCTAAGACAGACAAGAAAACCACCAACTGCTGGCCAATGCAGAAATGTGAAGTTTCCAATGTTAACTATCCTTCCAAAATCTCTCTGACTTGAATTGTGTTGCTTACCTGATATACAGTCTCAACGTTGTCTTGAATCTTAATTTTCCCTGCATCAACTACCTCTGTCCTGAAGTGATCTCTAGACCTGGTATAACATTTACTCTCAGCAGCAGATGGGGAAGCAGGCAAAACCATCAGGCAGCACTTTCCAGAGGATGTCTGCATGTAGATGCACATGTATACATACATTGATGCACATCAGGTTATTTAGATGAAATACAGAACTTGGCATATTGAACCCCTGAGGATGGCATCTATGTTAATTTAATCTTTTATCTCAAGTACTAAGTCACTGCTTGGCACATTGGAGAGGACAAATAAATGTTGATCTGAACAGTTTTACTCCATTCACTACTAAAGAAGTGCCTGCTATGCCCCAGGTAGGGAAGGAAGCAAAGGTAAGCCACACATAATCATTGTCTTCAAGGAGTTTACAAGTTATAGTGAGTGAAATGCAAATTATAGTACAGGTTTCAAGAAAATGCTGCAGGAGAATGAGAGTGGTATGTATTAAATCAGAGAAAGGACAGGGAAAAGTCCTTGTGGAAAAAGATGTATCTTTCCCAGTTGGGCCTTAGAGGATAAAATAGGAGTTGGAGAGGAGATGGAGTGGGAGAGAGTAAAAAGAAAGAAGATAAACCTAGCCAGGATTCAGGAAAGTGCTAGGCCATAATTTCTAAGTGTCCTAGGAGGAAAGGAGTGTGTGTGTGTTTTTGTGTGTGTCTGTGTGTGTGTTCATGCTCATGTATGCATGTGCATGTGTGTGTGTGATTAATTTGTGAAGATTTACGGGAGAAAAGCTTGGATGATTTGATTTCAGTAGATAATGGGATGACCCAGTCACAATTTTGCTTTAGTATCTGTTAGCAGAATATAGAATAAATTAGAGGGAGAGAAATCAGTTATGAAGCTAATGCAAAAATTTAGGCTGGAGGTTAATGAAGGCTTGAAAAATGATGTGGCAGCTGGAAATGTATATAAGGAAATGAATTTAAGAGACAATGTAGAGATACAATTTAAAAACAAATACTTGTAGGCCAATTAAAAGAGGATGATAAGAAAGAGAGAGAGCAGTTAGAAATAACCAACCTTTTGCACCAGAGCAATAGGAGATTCCAATGACGTTAACTGAAATAAAGACAACAGGAAAGGAAAGTTTCAAGGGTTGAAGAAAATGAACATGTCCAATTCTGGAGAGACGGAGCTTAAATCAACAGGTACTATGCTCCTTGTCCAACTCTAGGTATCAGCCACCTCTGGGATGCTGAGGAGTTTTTTGGCTACGGGCAGGATATGGAAGGGTGAGCAAGGTCCTGAGCTCTACCAGGGTTGGATGGGAAGAGCAAGCACAAAGCCTTTTGCTCTCTGGTTGGAAGGAGGGCCTGTGGACTGCAGCAGAACACTCAGCTGTGAGCAACCAGCACAGCACACATCCGGGAGAGGCCTTAGCCCATGGACATTTCGGGAGCACCCTCAACCTCTTTCCAAGGAAGAGCAGTCCCTGAAGGAAGTGGCCTTTCTGGCTTCAGGAGTCAAGGGGAGGCTGAGCAGGTGAGTGCCAGCATTCTACCCTGGAGGCTGGCAGAACCCTCACTTTGTTAGGATATTAGTCAGGGTTCTCCAGAAAAACAGAATCAATAGGATAGGTAGACAGATATACAAAAAGATTTCTTATGGGAATTGGCTCACACAATTTTGGAGGCTGAGAAGTCCTGAGTTAGGCCATCTGCAGCTGGAAAACCATGAAAACTACTGGTGTAATTTGGTCTAAGGCCAAAGGCCTAGAACCAGGGGTGGGGATGGTGGAATGCTGAGCAGGTGCCCTGGTATAAGTCCTAGAGCCCAAAGGTCCAGAACCAAGGAACTCTGATGTCCAAGGGCAGGAGAAGACAGATTTCTCAGCTCAAGGATAGAGAGAGAGAAAATTCACTTTTCCTCTACCTTTTCGTTCTACCCAGGTCAGGTCCTCAATGGGATGGATGATGCCCACTGGCATTGGTGAGGACAGATCATCCTACTTAGCCCACTGTGTCAAAGGTGAATCTTTTTTTATTTGCTTTTTTTTTTTTTTTTTTTTGAGATGGAATTTCACTCTTGTCCCCCAGGCTGGAGTGCAGTGGCACGATCTTGGCTCACTGCAACCTCCGCCTCCTGGATTCAAGCAATTCTCCTGCCTCAGCCTCCCTAGCAGCTGGGATTACAGACATCTGCCACCACGCTTGGCTAATTTTTGTATTTTCAATGGAGACAGGGTTTCACATGTTGGCCAGCCTGGTCTTGAACTCCTGACCTCAAGTGATCCTGCCTTGGCCTCCCAAAGGGCTAGGATTACAGGTGTGAGCCACCGTGCCCGGCCTAAAGGTGAATCTTTTCTAGAAACAGCCTCACAGACACACCCAGAAATAATATTTCACCAGCTATCTGGGTATCCCTTAATGAGTCAAACTGACACATAAAATTAAACATCACATCTTGATTGCAGGGGAGAGTCACAGGGGGGATGAGGGTCTTTTTTCTTATGCCCAGATAGCAAACTGACAAACCTCCTGCTAGAGATGATCTGTGGAAGCAGAATACTTCTATTGAGGGCACCCCAAGGGGTGAATCTCAGGTCTAAGAGTGAGTCAGAAGTTGGTGAAGAAAACTAGGGGATCTAGCAATGATAGAAGAACAATATCCAGAATATGTAGCTCCTAAATAAAAATAGAACTGCTGGTGGAGACAGAGAACAACTTAGACAAAAATTAACAAGACACTCGAGGTTCAAACATACTACAAAATCTCTCAAATTCTTGGGCCTAAAAATCTCACAATTTTTGAATGAAAAAGATCAATATACAAATTGAAGGAGAAGATAGTCACCATTGAATTCTGAATCAGTGGCCTGGAAAATTAAGTGTGTGGGGTGGTAGGGGACACCACATCAGAATATAAATAGAAGATAAAGAAAATAAGAAGGAAAAGATAAATGATTTTGGAGGACAGCTATAGGGCACCCAAGATACAAACAATAGAAATTTCATAAGGAGAAATAGGAATCAATGGAGAAGAGGCAATAACTAAACAAATAATAGAAGACCATTTCTCTGTGTTGAAAGAAAATTTAAGGTAGAGATTGAAAGGGCTCACTGAGTTCCAGGAGTGACTGTGAAGAAAAAACAACCTAGGCCTAGCCCAATAATCTTCTTGAGCTCAAAGGATAGAAGGAAAACTGTATAAGTTCACAGAGAGAAGGAACAAACTATTTTCAGAAAGAATGAGAATCAAACTGGCAATCAGACCTCTCGTCTACAAGACTGGAGGATAGAAGACAGCAAAATAATAGCTGAAGAACACTGACAGTAAAAGAAGGCAACCCAGGAATCCTACATCCAATCAAGGTACCCCTCACTTGTTTGGGCAAATATAAATATTTGAGAATATATAAGAAGTAAGAAAATGTATTATCTACATACCACATCTGGGGAGAAGATTCGAGAAAACCACTAGCAATAATTGAAAGAGAAAAGATGAATATGTGTGTGTGTATGTGTGTATGAATAATGATTGGTGACATGTAATAAAAGTGCTAAATAAAGTACCATGACAACACAAAATTTAAAATTTGGGCATGGTATGGTGGAGTCCCGAAAGGGGGTAGTAAAAGCATTTTAATGAATATTGACTTGATCAAATCAGCATGAATCCCTTTTTATTTATAATTTTAACATTTTGTTATTTATTTTTTTTGCATTTAATTTCACTTGTTAATACTGCATTAAGATATTACTTATTTTGATTGCCGAGTTTTCTTGCACCTCAAATTTTGTGCCAAGAAAAGTGCCCCAATTGCCTTTCTCTAGACCTGACTCTGTGAGCAAAATAAGGAAATGGAAGAAGAGAAAACAGCAGTCACAAAGCCAGGTCAGAAGAATGTTTTAAGAAAGACATCAACTGAAGTGGCATAGGATAAGGTCTGAGTAGAGGTACTGGGTCTGGCGCTAGGTACGATAACAGGGCCAGTAATCTGGGAGACATAAAGCAAGCTCTGAATGGGAGGTCAGGAAGTAGAGGACACAGACGCAGAAAATGACTAAGCAAGGTATTGCCTTTATAAATGAGAAAGTCAATTGTTAACAATTCCAACAAGCTTTTATCTTTGAGGGTGACATCATGAACATTTCCTATGAAGAGAAATCACTTGGAGTTAGAGCATCACCAGACGCAAATAGCTCCCGCTTATCTTTGGCGATTGAGGCAGCTCTGAGATGAAAATGGTCTGTAAAAAGAACTTTCTAGGAAGTCCATGCCGCCTTAGATGTCTTGTAGCCGGAAAAACAACAGAGGCTTTCAAAAATCACTGTTATCTCACTGTCACATAGGTAGCTGTGATTGTGGAAAATGATGTGTTCTCCTTTCTTGTGCATTCTTCATTACGCAGATGCACTTCTGCTGGAATAAAAATAGGGAACTTAGACTCTTTTTTTTTTTTTTTTTTTTAAAGGCCCTCTTCAGACCAGACTCCATTTAGGACCTGCTCTTCCTGTATACACTTCGAGAAGGGTTGCCAAGGAAACCTGAAACAAAGACAACTTCATGCACTCAAAGCAGGAAAATGCATCCAGAACCTCAAATCTTTATACATTACTGAGGATTGACAGTCTCCTTCCTTGTTCTAACTGGAGTTTCAAGAACAGCCTTAAAGCACTTCACATTCTTTGCGTGTGTGTGTGTGTGTGTGTGTGTGTGTGTGTGTGAATCTGAGATACAGTCAATAGGGAGTTTTTCCTCTTATCTTCTGGCTACTTTTCAAATGTTTTTGCCATTATTTCACAGTTTATGTATTCAAAAGTAAACATTACAATAATAGCAACTCTTCATTCTGTAAAATGAAAGGCTTAAATAACAAATTAAGAAAATGTAGTTTTCATTCCATATTGACTTCTGCAGCACCACCTTTAAGAAATATTGCTATGGCTTATATGTTAATTTTGGAACTCCTAAGGCTAGAGTTGCTGTCAGTGGAAGAGATCTGTTGCTATTCCTCAGAATGGATATACAACTGAATAATCTTGTAGTCTTTTATGTACAAATTGGCTGGTTGTGGGAGTTAATTGTCACAACTGAATAGGGGTCATTTTCAACATTGCAAGTTGATAAATTTGATTTAATGCATTAAATTGTCTTGCATCGTGTTCTTAGAACAGGAAAAGTGTACTGTATTAAGCAAGAGTCTTTGGGGGAAAATAAAGCCCATGATACTCAGCTAGGAGTATGAAAGATAAATAGCTAGATAATAATCAAACAAGTAGTTTTTGTTAAAAAAGAGAATAGACTTCATACGTAGAGGGTATGGGTGGCAAGGACTTGTTGAGCATTAAGGAGGAATGAAGGCATACAGAATAAGAGCGTTCATTTGGAGTTTGGAAAGGATGGTCACAGAAACAGGATCAGAGTGACTGTCTGTGTGTGTTTGTGTGTGTGTGTATTTTCCAAAAAAAACAAGTTTAACTTTCCCTGTGATCTTATTCTGAAGGACAATGTTTTTCTGACCGTGTCTTGCCCTAAGGTATTATTTTGGAGAAACCAAACAACCTCCCGGGAAGAGTGCAATGTTGTGAGAAGCAGAGGGAGCCGATACCAGCCACCTGAGTCAGAAGGAGGCAGCCCAGAAAGGTAGCACTCCAGGAGGTGAGGCAGCTATCATGTGATAATCATATCCTTGGAGAATCACAGATCCAGAGCAGTACCTCTTGCTCACAATGCCCTAGGGTGTGATTATCTTATGATAACCATCTTAAAGATGTCTTTTTTGCTCAATTAACACATACTTCCATGAAAATTAGCTATCAAGATGAGTTACAAAATACAGATATTTAACATGACAGGTTAAAATAGTGCAGATGTCTTCATCCAATTATTGCAATTTGTACTCTGGACAAGGAAAACTACTTGGATGAGTGATTCAACTTGCTAACATTTATATGTTTTGTAATTGTATATTATTACAAGATTTCTTCATATTGAGCAAACTCTGTATTTTTGCCGACAGAGCTGTCTTCTTGAAATGCAGACTCGGGCAGGTTTATGAGTGTCTTCGTCTCCCATCAGTTTGTTTCGTTTGGACCTGCCTTTTTACAAAACTTCCCCAGGGGTCCCAATACGTTTTCTCATCCATTCTGTGGCATGCAATGAGAAGGAGCCAGGCCATTTGCTTTTTGAGTGTTTGCTGGCAGAGAGTAAAGCGCACTTGTCATGAGTGCACATGGGCTGGGAATATTTCTTGAGAATAAATGGGGCAGAAAAATAAGGAAAAGTTTGTGCACTGCAGAAGAAGTCGGTGTATTGGTGTGAATTCCTCCTGGCTCCTGGCAGAGCACTGTAATACCTCTATGGACCATGCATTCCCTAGCTGAAAGTGGGTGGATTCATGCAGCTCATCTCTAATATTCTTTCCAGCTTTAAAATTCTGTGCTTCTGGATGGCCAGGCGCGATGGCTCACGCCTGTAATCCCAGCACTTTGGGAGGCCGGGGCGGGCGGATCACCAGGTCAGGAGATAGAGATCATCCTGGCTAACACAGTGAAACCCCGTCTCTACTAAAAATACAAAAAATAAATGAGCCGGGCATCGTGGCGGGCGCCTGTAGTCCCAGCTACTCGGGAGGCTGAGGCGGGAGAACGGCCTGAACCCGGGAGGCGGAGCTTGCAGTGAGCCGAGATCCCGCCACTGCACTCCAGCGAGACTCCGTCTCAAAACAAAACAAAACAAAACAAAACAAAAACAAACAAACAAACAAAAAATTCTGTGCTTCTGAAGTAAAATTACATACAACCTCATGGTAGCTGAGGATGTTAAATGGCTAGGCACTTCCTAAGCTATGTGTCTAGGGCAGTGCTCAAGACAACCCCCTGCCCCATAACAAAGAATTATCCAGCTCACAATGTCAAGTGCTTAGAATGAGAAATCTTGGTGGAGAGAAAATTTCTTAACATCTGTAATCCTTGGTTTCCTCCTCCGTAATACCAGCCTAACTGAGTGATATGGTTTGGCTCTGTGTCCCTACCGAAATCTCATGTCCACTTGTAATCCCCATGTGTTGGAGGAGGGGCATGGTGGGAGGTGATTGAATCACGGTAGTGGATTTCCCCTCTGCTGTTCTCGTGATAGTGCGTGAGTTCTCACGAGATCTGGTTGTTTGAAAGTGTGTAGCACCTCCCCCTTCGCTCGCTCGCTCTCTCCTGCTCCACCATGATAAGATGTGCTTGCTTCCCCTTCACTTTCCGACTTGATCGTAAGTTTCCCAGCCAGGCTTCCTGTACAGCTTGTGGAACTGTGAGTCAATTAAAACTCTTTTCTTTGTGAATTACCCAGTCTCAGGTAGTTCCTTATAGCAGTGTGAGAAGGAACTAATGCACTGAGTTTCTGTGAAGACTCACTGAAGCAATGTGTATAAAGCAGTTAGTGCTGCCATGGAATACTCACTAAGTATCATCAATTATGACTGTTTTTATAATTAATAGTGCCAATAATATTTTTAAAATTGCTATACATGTGGAAGAAAAATTCTTTCAAGTCAATTTTTGAATGACTGTTTGTTAGGTACACCAACAACCTGAGAGATTCCTGGGCCTCCGAAACATTTGAATGCAATGATTCTAACAACGTGTTCCATGAACTTACAGCATCAGCATCACTTGGGAACACGTTAGAAAGGGAAATTCTTGATTCATACTCCAGTTGTATTGAATCAGAAATCCTGATGGTGGAACCCAGGAAACTGTGTCTCTAACAAATTCTCCAGGTGATTCTGATGTGAACTAGAGTTTGAGAACCACTGCTCTAAGGTATACGTTGGGAATAATTCCTCTAAGCAGGAACTTGGTCTCATCTGTGTAATCACTCCAAACACCTGGTTGAGTGCCTTGTATGGGGTAGTTACTTAGTAAAGTGATTGAATGGGATGAAAAACTAATTCATGAGCAGGACCTGATCCTACATTATTGACAATTGTTCCCACAGCTTGGCATTGACTGATGTTGACAGACACAACTAAGTTACACCCACAGGTCCTAATCTCTCTCTATCTGCCTGTACCAGGTGTAAGGCAGCATGCCTGTGGGCTAAAGAGGCCACTTGTGCTTACAAGTTGAGACCTGCCAGCACAGTTCAAGTGATCCTACACCTTAGTTAGGGCCAAACAGAGGGAGAGGTTTCATTACAAATAATTAAACTCAAATGAAACAAACCCAGGAGTTCAACACAACTGCAGCTATGGCAGTCATCAGATCATTCCTCTATTGTTTTTATTGGAGGGATTTTGGCACTAATAGACAAGAGTTTGGGGGATGTTTGTATGTATGTTTGATTTAATGGTGTAAATGTCATTTTCTGAGTATTCAAAATTTCAGTATTGAAAATTGAGTCACCTTGAAAATCACACTGTAGAAATATGGGACCAAGAAGAAAATATATTCATTTGAACTTCAAGCCATCTTCTACTATATTTGCATAAATCTAGAAAAGGGATTCATATAATGAATCATAGTAAGATTTGTTAAAACCCTAGCAGCATCTGGATCAACATGACTAGTGATAGGTTTTTAAATTGCAAATACAGAAAGTAAATATGAAGGAATCAGCGTATTTGGGAGATAGTTTTGAAAAGCATATTTAAAGAAGTATTTCTGGCTGGGTACAGTGGCTCATGCCTGTAATCCCAGCACTTTGGGAGGCTGAGGCGGGTGGATCACCTGAGGTCAGGAGTTCGAGACCAGCCTGGCCAACATGGTGAAACCCCATCTCTACTAAAAATACAACAATTAGCTGGGCATCATGGCACATGCCTATAATACTAGCTACTTGGGAGACTGAGGCAAGAGAATTGCTTGAACCCGGGAGGTGGAGGTTGCAGTAAGCTGAGATGATGCCACTGAACTCCAGCCTGGGCAACAGAGCAAGACTCTGTCTCAAAAAAAAAAAAAAAAAAGAAGTATTTCCTACATAAAAATACATAATATATGTGTAAGTTATGAAACATAACTATAAACTGAACACCCAATAGGCCACCATTATCCTTAGGTAATGGGAGATTATAAACACCATTGAGACTTCTTATAGGTCACTTGTTCATTGCAAACCCCTGGCTGCTACCTGCCCTTCACTGAGGTAACCACTATCCTGAATGGTGCTTAACAATAAATTTGATACATATATATTTATCTATAATTTATTTATTTTAGAGTTTGCTTGCTTTTCAACTTTATTTAAATGATATCATATTCTATGTATTCCTTAATTTTTTTCATTCAGTGTTATCCACATGGTTGTAAATATTCTGCTGAATTCTAGTCTATTTTGTAATTATATTACAGTTTACCCATTCTCCTGTCTAGTTTGGATTTATTTATTTACATATTTTTGATGGATGGTCCCTTTTCCTTTGCATGTGAGAACACCCCATCCTCTTCATCTGGAAAAAACAATAATTCAAATAGTTCTTTAAACCATGGTCTCCAAGGCACCTTCTGTTTCTTGTTTTTTGATAATTTATGATTTCTTTATCTGCCACACTTTGAGTTCTTTGTGGGCAAGAATATGTCTATTTTATTTCTATTTGTCTAGCACCCCAGATGGCGCTTGACCCATAACATATACATCAGTAGGATGCATGGTTTTAAGTGACTGAAAACCAATTCAAACTGGATTCATTTTTTTAAAGGAATATGTTGGTTGATTTACCTGAAAATCCCAGGGGTGACCCCAAACAACTTCAGACTTCTACCGTCAAAGCATCTAGCCCCTAAGAAAGAGAGGCTGTCTTTGCAGCTCCCATACAGGTTCTTCGATCAACTCTCATAAGCCTGAATTGGTTCATTCGCTTATCCCTGTGTCAATGACTGTGCTTCTAGATGATGAAATGCTATGATTGCCTTAAGCCCAAGTCACATATTCTATTCTTGGGGCTTTATTTAAACTGCCTGTACTAAGAGTGGAAATGCAGTGATTCTTTCAAAGCAAAGTTGGAGGACTCAAAAGGAAAAAGTAGATGTAAAAACAATAAGTTTCTATAAAAGTAGATGCTCGATAAATTCTAGTTGAATAAAAAAGAGTAAACATAGAAAAGTAAAACTTAAAAATCACACAAATAGGAATTGATCAAAGGTAATGAGGTTTGGGCAAGACTTATTTATAAGATTAAGAGACTCATTAAAATGAAAGATCTCTTTCTGATGGTTAAAAGGAGAATAGCAGAGGAAAAAAGGCAAGAGTTATGGTTATTTCAGCATAAAATTTGGGGCTGAGGGCTGAGTGCTTCAGAGAGCTAGAGCTAATGGGACAATGAAAACAAATGGCCTGGGATGACATTGGTAGAATCCTGAGTGAGGATAGCAGGAAGCCCGGGCAATAGGATCAATTTTAATGTCAGGAAGAAAGTTAAATATGTGGAGAGAGGGAGGTAGCATATAGGGGCTACCAATGCCAGTTTGAGGGTGACACATACAATTTTATTTCCTTGAAGAGAAGAATTTTATGAATTTCATGCCCTTTAATTCTATAGCTTCTACTTTGAGGATATGAAAATATTCCTCACATCAAAAGGCAGAAGGTTAAAGTAATGTTACGGGTGGGTCTTTGTTCTTAGAGCTCCCAAGATGGTGGCAGGCTGCTCCCAAGAGGGCAGCAAGCCTTTTGTTCTCTGACCTGAGGTTCTTTCCCTCACGGATTCCAAGGAATGAAACCTTGGGCCATGCAGTGAGTGCTATAGCTCTATTAGAAGACGTGGGTCACGGAAGAGAACTGTGGAACCCAGCGACTAGTGTTCAGCTTGATTAGAATGGCCCCGGGCACTTAGCCACACAGGAACAATGGCGAGCCTCTAGCCCGAATGGGAGCGGCAGTGGGCTGCCTCACTGGATCAGAAACGCAATGGACACCCTGCTGGATCTGGAGGGGTGGAAGTCAACAGCCTGTCTGTGACAGTGGCGAACAGCAGTGGTGGAAGGTGAGTGAAAGCTCAGCTCGAGCTGGAACAAACATGAACCAGAAGAGTGTGCGATTGCAAGATTTACTAGAGTAAAAACAGAGCTCCCATACAATGGGAGGGGACCCAAAGGGGGTTTCCCACTCCCAGCTCCAATGCCTGGGGTTTATATCGCAATCATTGTCCCTCCCCCTGTTCTCTCAGATGATAGGTGATTTGACTGTTTCTTTACCTCCTGCTTTTAGCCTAATTGGTATTTTAGTGAGCCCTCTTTACTACCTGATTGGTCAGGTGTGAGCTGAGTTACAAGCTCTGTGTTTAAAGGTGGGTGTGGTCACCTTCCCCAGCTAGTCTTAGGAATTCTTCGTTGGCCTAGGAAATCCAGCTAGTACTGTCTGTCAGTATGGGAAATATTTTCTTCCTGAGGGGATAGTACATGCAGTGATTGCAAAAAGAGGTACGTGTGAGACATAGATCGTTGTCTCTCTAGTTATTGTTATCACCATCATCATCACTGCTATTTGGTAATAAACTTAAGGCAGATCAGAGAGAATGATCTCTGTGTCTTTATGCATAGACAGGGGACATGCTTCTATAAATTAGTTTCATAAGCTCAGACTTTGAACTTGAGACCAAGCTGAGTCTTGCATTCAGGGAGACATTTATGACTCCTCCTCAGTGATAAAAAGTTATGAAAAGCATAGCAACCTAAGGAAAAATGTTTCTCTTTCTCTTAAAGCTATGGAACTTCAGTTAGGTGGGACTGTTTCCATAGAAAATAAGATGCTGATAAAAAACTGATGTCTGTTAAGCCTGGGTGACTCCACAGGTGATCTTGTCCACTTCTCATGCCATTGGTTCCTTACTTTCCAGTTGTTTGTGCTTCTTACCCAGTGAGATTTCCTAGGGTTTCATTCTGGAAGTCATTTCTCCTTCTCTCTTCCTCTTTCCCAGAGGCCTTATCCATTCTTTTTTCTTCAATTGTTATCTCTATACAGATAGTTATAGATAGTAATCTCCAGTCACAGCTTTAAATGCCAGTAGGATGTCCTCTAGACACCTTAAACTCATTGTATTCAAGGGCAAGCTGCTTGTTGTCACTCCATGAAAGTTTCTTATCCTGACTTTTCTATTTTATTTAATTACATTATAATCACCTAGACTTGAAACAAAGTTATCAGCAACCTTTAAAAAATTCTCCCTGTTATTTAAGTTACTTAATTTTCATCATGGACAGAGGAGAGAATGTATTCTCTTTTCCATTCCTACTGCTGCTCACTTAAGTCTCTGATTACTTCTGGTCTGCTTTCTGTAGTAGCATGTATTCACATCTTGTCTATCCCACCACCAATCTATCCTGTGCATCCAGGCCAGATTCATCTTCCTAAGGTGCACCTCTAATGTAACCTTGCCTCCAGGTTAAAAACAAAAACAAAACCAAAATTTTATTGGCTCGCTTTTTCTTACATACTTTAAAATCAACTCTGGTATTCAGTGCTTTCTATAACAGACTACCGGTTTATCATTCTAGTTTGATCTTTTATTACTCACCCATTTATGTCCCCTACTCCAGCCTATTATTCATTATTCTATGCACATTTTCCTTTAACTGTGACTTTGCTGTACACAAAATAATAATAGCTAATTCTTTTATAGGACTTTCTATGTTCCCATCTATAATCTAAGCCTTTTGTGTCTATTAATTTATTTAATTATTACAACTTTCCCAAGATTGTTGTAATAAGAGATATACACTATTATAAGCTCTATTTTACAATAAGGAAGTCCAGTTGAGAGAGTTTAAATGACTTTCCATGAATCACGCAGCTGATTGAAAGTAGAGCCAGCATTGGAATCTTGGCAGTCCATGCTCTTAGTCACTACGTTCTTTTACTTCTCCTCCTGTCAAATTCCTAACCATGCCTCAGTGCCCATCAAAATCCTTACCCTCCATCAGGGCCCATATAAGTGCTGCCTCTTCAATGATGCCTATTTTGGTCTTCACAAATAGTGGTGATTTTCCCCTGCTTTGAACAGCATAGCAATTTGTTTTTCTACATTTCTCCCACTATATATACCATGCATGGTAATTTAGTTTCTCTCTATTTTTATTCCTTAACTAAGTAAATAAGGCCCTGTTCTTGCTCTCAAGGAGGTCACAGTCCTGTGTCTTGAAGCACTTAGCAAAGAGATGTCCAACACTTAATTGTTTATTGAAATTAATTAATGTTATTGGAATCAATAAAGGACTAATTCTCAAACTCCCAAATCAAGTCATATAAACTGAAGTGTTTACTGCAGTTTAAAAACAAATCAGAATTATTTGTGGTAGGGTATAGTCTGTTTAGGAATTGTGACCCCTTAACAGTACTTTATTTGGAACTTTAGCACTTTTTGATTTTCTTTACCAGAGTTCTTTAGCAGTTCAAAATTATGAGTACAGTAACAATGGAAATTTACTATGGTTTTTGTTAGACCTTCTAAACTGCACACCTTCACATGCAATTCAAATAAAGCATCCTGGAAACCCTTCCAGCTCTCAGATAGATTAAACATTTCACTTGTTTTTCACCTCAAGGTATTCCAGTATTTGCTTTATAATGCTTATCCACACTCATGTTTCTATGTTCTATTCCCTTGAAACACACTTTATTTAGAGGGACCCAGTGCAACACTTGTTTGCATTTGTTTGAATATAACATAGAATAAATACAAAAGTTTATAAATTCATTTTTCCACTTCAGGTGTCATCTTAATGTAATGAACTCTTACAAATTCATTACAAGTTTGATACTAGGCCCCATGTCTTTAAGTTCCCAGTCTGGGGCAAAGGTAGAAAACAGCAGAGAAAATCAGAATTTTCCAGAATAGGAGGCCTAATCTCCCGAAAAGTAAGCTTCCATTTTATAGAATTTAACCCAATCAGATTTTTATCCTATTTCTCCATGTCTTACTTGCATATCTCTTACTACAAAAATTAATATTCTGCTGTGGATTTTCTTCCTGGAATTGTTTTCCCAGGTAACCAGAATGTGTGTATGTCTGTTTGTCACACTGTCTACAACAGAAGTGGCAAATATTTGGGATATTGCCAGAATCAGCGAGATCATTTCCTCAGCCCCACTCTCCACAAAGTGCCTTAGATCCATGACGGTCTTTAATGGAGGATACAGTCATGCTAATAAGATTGCCACTAACACAGTCAAATTTAAGATTTCTGCATATAAATAAGGTGAGAAGCAATCAGGCAGCATCTACTTGAAATCAATTGCTAGAATCTCTGGGTACCTAGTGGAACTGTACCCTTTTATCAATGGATTTTAATTTATTCTTTTAAAAATTCCTTTTGCAAAGTAAAATATATATGTAATAAACTCTGGCTATAGTAAACCAGACAACATTCATTATAGAGGGTGAGTCCTCTTTCTAGCAGTCATATTATGGGCCCATAGCTTTAAAATGGGATATTATCTCATAGTCTCTCAGCCACAGAATTTTTGGCAAAAATTGCATCAATCTCTCATATTGGGGCAGGGATAGGAGAGGAAGAGACTTCAAAAGATTGTGACCCCTATAAAATTGAGGGGTTTTTAATGGCCAGAAATACTGATTTGTTGAATAACCTATCTGGGGAAGTCATCTTTTATAGTGGCATCTGTTGGTTGCAGTACTACATCCAGGTAATCTGATATTAATCCTCTTGGCCAGCTAGGTCCATAGAATCAAATTAGGCCATCAACAGGTAACAGATGTCATACCCAGTTCAAAATGTTACTTGGTTGCTTGTCAATATGACATTGGAAGGTTTGAATACTCCAATACCCTGCAATGGAGTTTTATCTTGTTCTATTTTGTAAATTTAAATGTATCAGTTTTGTTATTGATTTAACATTATATAGGAATATGTTTACATATCTATATGAGTAATTATATTAACTCTCATCTTTCCCAAAGTGGTGTTCTTTGAGTCAGTGAGAAACTATACGAAGATTGTGAGTCTTAAAAAAGTTATGTGAATCCAAAATACCACCTAAACTTTTAAATCATAAATACCAATGCTTCCTGGGAACAATAATTCCATTTCATTCAAGTCAAATTTAACACCTACTTATTGAGTTCTGACTAAGTGCCAGATAGCATGTTAGGTAGGTACTGTGATATTGAGAAAGTAAGACATAGTCTCTGCCATCCACAATTTTGCAGCAGGGGAGGAGGCACATGTTTATAAGGTGTAGAGGTAATGCACAGGGAATTTGTTAGTAATGTGTATAATTACATTTCATTAGTCTCTGAACTCTTCATCTTCCATCTTTGACAGTGAGAGGGATTTTAATAATAATTGTAGTAAATGTAAGTTTCAATACATGGCAGGTTTTCAATCAGTGTTTGGCAAATAAAATAAATAAATGTCACTTAACTGTTCAATGTGCATATTTAGTCTCAGTCATTATATTTAGAAAACTAAAGACCATCACATCCTTGTGAACCCTGGCACTTTTTATAGAAAAAACCTCACTAGCTATTATTTATTGTGTTCATCCAATGCCAGGCACCATGTTCTTAGCTTTACATATATAGTCTTATTTAATCTTCATAATGACCTTGAAAGGTATGTGTTATTTTACAGATGATGAGGTGCAGCGAAGTCCAGTAACTTATCTGAGGTCCCATATTTAATAAATGGAAGATTTACAGCTTAAATCCAGGATTGTCTAAATTTAAAGCCCATTTTCTCAACTGCTACACAGAATCATAGCTAAGACTTTAAAAAAAAGACCAATAACTTTGAAGAAACACTTTATTAAATTTTTAGAATTTTTCTTCTATTATAAAAAAATTCCTAAGAATAATGTTGAAAGTATTTTAGTCAGTGGTATAAAATAGTATTGGTGTTGACAGAGACTCTCAACCCATCTGGTTAGACAGGATAGGCTATGGTCTCATTCCCACAGTGCTGGACAGGAGTGTAAATTTAACCAGAGAGCAGAGGAGTGGTGGTGGGGGTGGTGAGCCCAGGCACATTTGCTGAGGAGCAGGGCTCACGTGGGCGTTCAGCTTTATGTGGAGACAGGAGATCTCTGTAAGCACAACCAAGACAATTGCTTTTTTCTTTTGGACCTCCTCCCAGCCTTGCCATACCTCTTCTTCTGGCCCTACTTCAAAATGTGGTTCTCTCTGCATTTCTGTAGGGCTGTGGAGGTGCTGCTAGGGCCTAGAATTTCATGGGGGTGGAGTGTGGAGGGATGCTAGTTGCAGTGATGACTATTTCTTTCCTAACACACTTGCATGTTTAGCATCATTAGTAGAAACCCAATAAGACACCGTAGGACTGGTGTGAAACATACGCTTATACCAAAACACTTGTCTCTGGTATGGAAACTTAAGGCAACGAATCACTAAATTAGCAGTCTTTACCTTCTTTCATAATAGGTTGCCCTCAGCCTCGGTTAGTATGGTGCAGTGAAAAAATGCTTTACAGGAGGAGGCTTTGGTTTCCAGAACTTTACTGCTGACTTGTCAATAACCTTCGATTGGTTACTGTACCTCTATGGGGCTCAGTTTCTTCATCTATGACATATGGGACTTGGATTAAAGAATTTCTAAAATCCCTCATGGCCATTAAAAAAATAAATAGCTTGTGGAAACAAACTTGGCTTAAAGCATTTCAATTGACTTTGCCACTTTATTAATTGTGTAAATCTGGGCACCACTACACACACACACACACACACACACACATAATATTGGAAAGTGAATCCTATGCTTATAGGGTTGTTGTGATAATCAAATTAAAATAATGTTTATGAAAGTATTTCATAAACTGTGAAGCGCTTTGCAAAATTGAGATGCTATAAAATTTTACATTTATTCTCCTAACCAGACACTCAAATTATTTCTGTAACTGAATGTCATCTTAGATAGTATTTGAAAAGCTAAGATTCAATCTTTCTCACTTTATCATGTGCTCATTTTAAAACAAACAGAATATATAATAAGGTGTCAAGCAACCCCCTCGACAAACAGTGAAATACCACTCCTATGCACCAAAAAGTACAATAAATCCATGCAAAATCTGATGGGAAAATATTTAAAGAACTGTTAGTTTAATGCTGCTATTCTATTCAGCTGTTTATGTGTATAAAATGATCTTAAAGTCTACCTTTTTGTGGAAATCATAAAAGAGTGTTCATTTAAAAAAAATTAGGTAGTTTGTTAGAGAAAGGAGAAGTAAAAAATTACAACAGTTTATACAGGGTGACTGTTACGGTTTGTATATATTTTGCGTATCCCCACCAGATCTCATGTTGGAATTTCATCCCCAGTGTGTCAATGTTGGGAGGTGGGGCCTAGTGGGAGGTATTTGGGTCATGGGATGGATCTCTCATGAATGGTTTGGTGCTTCTCGAGGTAAAGAGTGAGTTCTCATTCTTGTGAAACTGGATTGATTCTTGGGAAATGGATTATTCTCTGGAGAGGGGGTTGTTATAAAGCCAGGAAGCCCATCAGGTTGCGTCTCTCTTCACACATACCTGACTCCCTTTTGACCTTTTCTGTCAAGTTTTGACTCAGCTCGAAAGCCATCACCAGGAGCTGAACAGATGCTGGAGGCACCATGCTTCTTGTACAGCCTACAGAACCATAAGCTAAATACACTTCTTTTCTTTTAAATAACCCAGCCTCAGGCATTCCTTTATAGCAACACAAAACAGACTAAGACAGTGACATAATCAGTAAGATTTTCAACTGAGCTCACATGAAACTGAGGCATGTGAAGAGATGACCATTTCTTATCTCCTTCATTGTGTTGTGCATAATCTAGAGATTTTATATTGGTTCAGCAGTAGCCTTATTTACACATTTTTATTATAAATATGTATGTCATTTTATTCATGCATTAAAATTAATTATCCTAGTGGCCCACAGATTAATTTGGTGCATGTATGTGTGCTCACATGAAATTATCTGAATAGCAGATCTCAGATTCCTGACCGTCTGCCATATAATCTGCCGCCTTCTTTTCCAGGAGATGCTATCTTACTGTAACAAACACCCAGAGAGCAGTCACCCAGAACGTGGAGGTCAATATAGGTGGTCAGCAATTACAGTGACTGGTTATATCCACTCTCTTGAGTTTTGAGGGAGGCCTGGCAATACGTGGCAAGAACCATAGTCTGGAAATGGGACCTGAGCAGCTCTCTGGGCTCCAGTTTCCACATATATACAATGAGGGGGCCATGGTTCCAAGAGATCTGGGAACCTGATTAGGAAGTGGGGAAAAAGAGAGAGTACATCATGGCAGTGGTGAGAGTGAGGGCGTGAAAGGGATTGAGGTTGTTGTGCTAACTGGGTCTGAATCCTGGCTCCACCCACTTATTGCAGTGGGAGCTTTTATTAACTTAAAATGGATAAAACAATCACCCCTTCACAAAGTTGTTATAAGTAGTAAATCAATTGTATAAAGCCATTGGTTCTCAATACATTGAAGCCATTATTACTGTATAACTTTGAGCAAGTTACTGATCCTTGCCGTGTGTCAGTTACTTTATTTATGAAATAAGAGCAACATTGGTGCTTATCTCAAGGGCTGTTTTGCAGATCAATGAGTCAATACATGTAAAAAGTGTAGAACAATGCCTAATATAAAGTAAATGCAAAACATGTTAGAGGAAGAATGGAAAAGCTCCAATTGGCAATGTCAGGTAGGGTGGCATTTAGATGAAATTAATTAAAGGATAATTAGGATTTTGACAGATCAAAAAAAGAAGAAGGACATTCAACCCATAGGGAAGAGCACCAGAAAAAGAATCTGATGACAATGAATAGAGTGTTTGGCGTTGCTTGGATTTTCATGCGGTGGAAACATAATATTTATGGGCACATGTAGTAAGATGAAGTTAGAGTTTGAGGCTAGCGTGGTAAAAATTTTGAGTGTCATTCTCTTATGTTAGTACATTATGAACTGTTTCTTGGTTAAGTAGTTTGATTTTCAGCTTCATAAGGTATTTGGCAATATTATATTTTCAATGAAATACCTTCTATTCTCTCCCCCTAAAGATAGCTCTTTCGTCCTCTGTGCACTCTTGGGGTGTTGTACATAAAATATTTTAACTATGTAAAATGTGATAGAATATTTTAATTATTTGTTTTACATGCATCTGTTTCCTCCATGAGACTGTAGGCACCTTGGGGGCAAGAAGTACCACCAAGTCATAACTGTATAAATAGCACGTAACAGGTACCCAGTCCAATGCTTACTGCTGGGTAAATACCAGGTTCTCTGAAGCTACAGGAGGCAGGTCGCTCTCAGTGTGACCTCTGCCCTCTGTGCTGACTGCGACCTAGGACTACTTTTCAGGATTTTTATGGGAGACTTTGTAAGCGAAGTCTTTCTTCAATGTTTGATCATTAGGCAATAAATAAATATATTTTAAATTGGTCAGGAAGTACTTGATCTATGCTAGCTAGTTTTATTACTTCGATATTCCTCTAAGTGTCATTTTCTTAATTAAAAAATTTCTGCCCTATTTCTTTATTAAAATGAATTTTAGCTTCTTAAAAACAAAAATATACAGAAGACATTGAAAATATACTCCACAATCTCTCTACCTTGATAGCCTCTGCTGATATTTAAGAATAAGAAGCGTATATGTACACATTTAGACATTTCAAAGTGAACAGAAAGGCAAAAAATAAAAAGTAACTCCTCACTCTCTCTCCTCTAACCAACTCAGTTGTCCAGTGGTTAATTTTTTGTTATTCCTTGATTTACTTTAAGTGGTAATGCACAACGTATGTAACTTGTGTTTCAATAATATGGGTTCTGTTATGTTAATAAAGAATTTTTTCAGACAAATAAACTGTGTTCAATATTAAAGTGTGCATTTTAATTTTTATGACTGTTGTTAGGATGACAAGCAAATGTGTCGATGGACATACATCATCTCAACTATTGCCTTCATGTCATTACTTGGATTGCAAAAGTAGCCTCAGCCAGAAATAACTATCTTCAGTGCTTGCCTTGTAAATCTAGCCTATTCAGTGGGCACAAAGTCACAGTGGGTCTCCTTCTAACACTTAGTATTCTGCTTTAAATGATTTTAAAAATGAAATGGAGAATTTGGGTTACATATAATTTTTATACATAAACAAGTTGAAAGCATTGGGACCTTATCTTGAGACAAATCAGAATAGCTACTTAAGTTTGAGCAGGCAGATTTCTCTAGGAGTTACTCTGGCAATGATTACTGCCTAATGGGGGCAGCAGAGAGCTAAAGCCCAGGAAGCTTGAGAAATGCTTCTTCAAGGAAAGGTGCCTAACTAGTCAAGAGGTAGGGCCCAGTGAGAGAGGAACCAGAGTCTGGGGATAGATGTTACCGAAAAAGTCCAAACCAAGCTGGGCTGGATCCTAGAAATCAAGAAAAAGGAAGGAAGTTGGACATAAGTAGAAGTGAAAACTCTTGTCAAATCTGGAGGCCAGATGAGCCCTTTTGTGGCAGTGGCTAAAGACTTCCTGGTTGACGCCGCTCAACCTTAAAGGGCTTCGGGCTCTGACACAGACTTTTCAGCTAAAGCCATGTTCCTGAGTTTTAAGAGCCCGGCACTGTGTTGGGCCCAAAGAGAAATAAGATTTAGCTTCCATTATTGAGGGGCTTATAGGTTTTCATTATTGTTGAATACAAAAAGAAAATAGGCTGGGTGTGGTGGCTCACGCCTGTAATCCCAGCACTTTGGGAGGCCGAGGCGGGCGGATCACCAGGTCAGGAGATCAAGACCATCCTGGCTAACACGGTGAAACCCCGTCTCCAGTAAAAATACAAAAAATCAGCCAGGCGTGGTGGTGTGTGCCTGTAGTCCCAGCTACTCGGGAGGCTGAGGCAGGAGAATCACTTGAACCCGGGAGGCGGGGCTTGCAGTGAGCGGAGATCATGCCACTGCACTTCAGCCTGGGCGACAGAGCAAGATTCTGTCTCAAAATAAATAAATAAATAAATAAATAAATAAATAAATAAATAAATAAATGGAATGGAGTAGAAACATACTCTAGTAATGACGCATGACTTCACTGATTCATTTATTCATGTAACACTAGGAAAGCAATGGCACTCTAGTGGGTAGATCGACATTAATAATTATTAACAAAGAAATGTGATATTAGATACTTAATACTGTGAAGGAAAAGTATGCAGCTTTGTGAACATATGTCAGAGAAATTGGATCTAGGCTGAAAATCAGGGAAGGCTTCTCAGAAAATGATGTTGGTATTTCTTAAGTTATGCAAATATGCAAAATGGATCTACATTTATTGAATCATCATTGCTCTGCTATTCATTGCACTATAAGACAGTAGTATGTCATGCATACAGTGAATGCAAAGGAGTTCACATCAAAGGCACCTAATTAGTCCTGAGAATAATGTTTTCCATTAATATAATATTGTTTAAATAATTCCATTAAGCGAAAAGTTTTTCTGATGATAGACATAATTAAATGTTGGAAACCAAGTAATCTATTTAATTTCAAAGGAAAAAATTGTACTCGTTTTTTAAAAAGTTAAAAAATATCATTTAACAGAGAATTCAAAAATAATATTTGAAATAGGCATTATCATAAATCAGACAGCTACTTGAATTAGTCTTCAGAAAAATTTTACATCAGCTTAAAAATCTTACTTTCGTAGACTCTGAAAATTATGAATTTTGTCATTGTAAAGGATTTTATAAGTCATGCTTTTTAGCTCCCTCAATTAACAAATGATGAAAACTGAAGGGCAGAGATTTAAACTGACATATTTGTAGCAACCATACAAGTTTAAAAATATTTAAGAAAAAATTAACTTGTGAATAATTTCAAAATATTTTTTCTGATTTAGGTTAAAATCTTCACTTAAAAATATGTAGAAGGCCGGGTGCCAGTGGCTCACACCTGTAATCCCAGCACTTTGGGAGGCCAAGGTGGGTAGATCACGAGGTCAAGAGATCAAGACCATCCTGGCCAACATGGTGAAACCCTGTCTCTACTAAAAATACAAGAATTAGCTGGGCATGGTGGTGCGTGCCTGTAATTCCAGCAAATCGGGAGGCTGAGGCAGGAGAATCGCTTGAACCTGGGAGGCAGGGGTTGCAGTGAGCCGAGAACACGCCATTGCACTCCAGCCCAAGTGACAGTGTGAGACTCTGTCTTAAATTAAAAAAAAATGTAGAAAATCTTTAAATGTTGAGTCTGAATTCTAGTTTTTAATGAAAAGTAAGCAGCCTTGGTTTTAGTGGAAATCTTCTTTTGTCTAGATTGAAAATTTAAAAAATATTTCTATATTAATAATACAGAATCATCAATTATACACATAAAGGGTGGGAAGGAGTTGATTTCTTCAACAATATTATGAACACATGAGAAAAGCTTTAAAAAGTTTAGTAGGGATAAATAATAATTCTTTATATTTGCCTAAGTTGTTGCATTTTCCAAAGTACTTTTTATATTTACTCACATGGTTCTCACAGAGAGGTAGAAGAAACTAGTGCTAGTATCTTCAGTTTGCAGAAGAGTGACATTCAGAATAGGTCTAAGGGTTAAGAGGACAACCAGGACAATATTATGAAACTCATTCCAGTATACTTCTGTCTGTGATCCAAGGTAAAGTGTTGCCGTTATATCTCTATAAATATGCTGGAATATGGATGCTAACAGAGTTTTTCAAGTTTCTATAAAAAGTGAACAAAATTTACTAATATTTGTTGCTATAGCATACATGTGACCCCTCAGAATTCATATGTTTGAAGCTAATCACAAAGGTGATTGGTATTAGAAGGCAGGGCCTTTGGGAAGTGATTAGGTCATGATGGCTCTACCCTTATGAATGGGATTAATGCCTTTAAAAAAGAGGCTCCAGTTATGTTTTCTTTTATGCCATGTGAGGACACATAGAAGGTACCATCTATGAGGAATGGGCCCTCACCAGATACTGAATCTGCTGGCACCTTGATGTTCAACTTCCCAGCCTCCAGAACTGTGAGCAATAAATTTTGATTATTTATAAATATCCAGTGTAAGGCATTTTGTTATAGTGGCCCAAATAGACTAAGACATTTGTAAATATGAAGATTTGGTGTTCATATATGTGTTATAACCTGGATATTTAGTGACCAAAAAGACATTGGAAACCAGCAGCTACCATCATACTTAATGGTGAAAGACTGAATGCTTTCCCCCAAGATCAGGAACAAGACAAGGATGTCTACTCTCATTCACTGTTTAACATTGCATTAGAGGTTCTTGCCAGAGCAATAAGGCAGGAAAATGAAGTAAAAGATACCTAGATTAGAAAAGAATAAATAGAACTCTCTTCGTTGCAGGTGATATGATCTTATATACAAAAAATCTTAAGGAATCCACTAATAAACTCAACATGGTTATAGGATACAAGATCAATATACAAAAATCAATTGTATTTCTATACACTTATAATGAATGATGCAAAAATGAAACTAAGAAAATTGTAAATTCCATTTATAATGGCATCAAAAAAGAATAAGTGCTTAGGAATAATTTTTAAAAAAGAAATGCAAAACTATACTGTGAAAACCATAACACATTGTGGACAGAAATTTAAAATGAAAAGGCATTGCATGTTCATAGATCAGAAACTTAATATTGTTCAGATAGTGACACTCTCCAAATTGATCTGTAGAGTCAACACAATCTATATCAAAATCCTAGTTGACTTCCTGGCAGAAATTGATGAGCAGATCCTAAAATTCATATAGAAATTCAAGAGACCCAGAATACTCAAATACTCTTGAAAAGGAAGGTCAAAGCAAGAGATTGCTATTTCTTAATTTCAAAATTTACTACAAAGCTATAGTAATCAAGATAGCATAGTCATGGCATAGAAAAATATAAATAAATCAATGGAATAGAATTGAAAATTCAGAAATAAACATTCATATTTATGGTCAATTGATTTTTCACAAGGGTACCAATACAATTCAACAGGGGAAAAATAGTCTTTTCAAGTAATGTTAGGATAATTGAATATCTACATGTAAAAAAATGAAGTTGGACCCATACCTCACACCATTTAAAAAATTAACTTAAAATGAATTAAAGACCTAAATGTAAGAATAAAAACTATAAAATTCTTAGAAGAAAACACAGGGGGCAATCTTCATAACCTTCATTTTGGGAATTATTTCTTAGACATGCCTCTGAAAGCACCAGCAACTAAAGAAAAAATAGACAAAATAGACCTCATCAAAATTTAAAGCTTTTTTTATTCAAAGGGCACCATCAAGAAAGTGAAAAGACAACCCATTGATTGGGAGATAATATTTGTAAATTATATATCTAAGAGATTTGTATCTAGAATGTATAAAGACTTTTTACAACTCAACAAAAAGACAAACAACCCAAATAAAAAATGAGCAATGGATTTGAACAGACATTTCTTCAAAGAAAATTTGCAAATGGTCAATAAGCACATGAAATGATTCTCAACATAAATGTCACTAAGGAAATGCAAGTAAAAGCCACAATGTGATAACCACTTCATACACGCTGGAAGGCTATAACAAAAAAGAAAATAAGAAGTGCTGACAAGAATGTGAAGAAATTACAACTCTCATACATTACTGGTGAGAATATAAAATGGTGTCTTCACTTTGGAAAACTGACTATTAAACATAGAGTTACCAATGATCCAGCAATTCTATTTCTAGATATAGAGGCAAGAGAAATGAAAGCATATTTCCATACAAAAATTTGTACATGAATGTTCATAGCAGTATTATTTATAATAGCCAAAATGTGGGAACAATACAAATATCCATCAACTGGTGAATAAACAAATAAAAGGTGATGTATCTACAGAATGAAATGTTTTTTAATTTTTAAGTTCAGGGGTACATTGGCAGTTTGTTATATAGGTAAACTTGTGTCATGGGGGATTGTTGTACAGATTATTTCATCACCCAGGTATTAAGCCTAGTACCCACTAATTATTTATCCTGATCCTCTCCCTCCTCCCAACCTCCACCCTCCAATAGGACCCAGTGTGTGTTGTCCCCCTCTATGTGTCCATGTACTCTCATCATTTAGCTTCCACTTATAAGTGAGAACATGCGGTATTTGGTTTTCTGTTCTTGTGTTAGTTTGCTAACGTTAATAGCCTCCAGCTCCATCCATGTTCCTGAAAAGGATGTGATCTTTTTCTTTTTTATGGCTGCATAGTATTCCATGGTGTATATGTACCAGATTTTCTTTATCCAGTCTATCATTGATGGGCATTTAGGTTGATTCTATGTCTTTGCTGTTGTGAATAGTGCTGCAATGAAAATTTGTGTGCATGTGTCTTTATAATACAATGATTTATATTCCCTTGGGTATATACCCAATAATGGGATTGCTGGGTCTAATGGTATTTCTGTCTTTAGGTCTTTGAGGAATCACCACACTGTCAATGGTCAAACTAATTTACACTCCCACCAAAACTGTATAAGCCTTTCTTTTTCTCTGCAACCTTGCCAGCATCTGTTATTTTTTTGACATTTTAATAATAGCCATTCTGACTGGTGTGAGATGGTATCTCATTGTGGTTTTGATTTGCATTTCTCTAGTGAACAGTGATGTGGAGCTCTTTTTCATATGATTGTTGGCATCATCTATGTCTTTTTTTGAAAAGTGTCTTTTTTTTGAAAAGTGTCTTTTCACTCTGCCTACTTTTTAATGGGGTTGTTTGTTTTTTTTTTCTTGTAAACTTGTTTAAGTTCCTTATAGATGCTGGATATTAGACCTTTGCCAGATGCATAGTTTGCAAAAATTTTCTCCCATAGAATGTAATATTATTCATCAATAAAAATGAAAGAAGTACTGATTCATGTTACAATGGATGAAACCTGAAAACATCAAATGAATATTTAAGGAACTAAATGAAAGAAACCGGTCACAAAAGGTCACATATTGTATAATTCCATTTGTATGAAATGCCCAAAATAGGCATGTTTATAGATAAAGAAAGTAGAAAGTAGTGGTTGCTTAGAGGTCGGGGGGAGGGGGAGGGGAATTGGTGGTTGGGGAGAAAGAAAATGAAAAGTGACTGTTAATGGGTGCGTGATTTCTTTTAGGGGTGATTGAATATTCTAAAATTGTGAGGACAAATGTACAACTTTGCAAATATACCAAAAACTGTTGAATTGTACACCTTAAATGGGTGAAGTGTATGGTTAGTAAATTATACCTCAATAAAGCTGTTATCAGAAAAAAAGACATTGGACCATTCTAGCAATAATAAACAGCCTTAGTGGCAGAGAAACAGAGATGGGTAAGGCTTAAGCCTTCAGTGGATTTAGGTTGGGTCCTGACTGCTTTTTGTCATAGGGAGGCTGCTGATAGCATCTCATAGGGAGCTTCCTCCTTCCGTCCCTCTCCTTTTCTTTTGGACTCTTCGGATGCATAAGAGAAAACAACTTAGTTATCTTAAGAGAAAGGGGAATGATGATATAAGGATTTAGGGCTATCTTACAACACCCTAGAGAAGGATTACAATTGGGTCTCAGAAAGAGTCAAGAAACAGAACCTAGAAAACCAGAGTTCTAGAAAACACTCTCCTTTCCTCCTCCTCCTCATTCTCCTCCTCCTAAATCTATTTCTGTTTCTAATTCTTCTCCTCTCTCTTTCTCTACTCTCCCCACTTCCCCCAACATGACTTTCTGTGTTCACAAAGTGGAGTTTGAGCATCTTTTAGCTCCCCTATTACACATTCTTACTGCAGCTGCACACAGAAATGAATGGGCTTTTCTCAGTCTCATTTCCCATCAGAGAGGATCAAGAATCTGATTGGCCTAGCTCAGGTCAATTGTTTTGTTCTAGTCCGATTAGCTAAGATGTAGGGGTGGGATCATACACAGTGTCTTCTGGATGCCCACGTTAATGAATCTGAAAGCAATTATGAGAAAGGGCAATGGCTTGTGGATGGGACAGATATTCAAAAGGGAGTCTGGCATGCTTAGGTAATATTACTAATAACAGTAATGATAATAAAAATATTAATAACTCTTAAGGACCTGCCTGTCTTAGCACTATGTTAGGTGTTTAACATCGTTTAGGACATTAAATCCTCATAATCTTTTGAGGTAATATCATTAGTCTCATTTCACAGATGAGGAGACTGGATACTTAGGTAAAATCACTTTCCCAAGGTTTCGCAAGACTGACTTTAGTCCTTTGTGCTATGCTGCCAATTCTCAGAAGCCCTATTCTTCTATGTTAAGCTAGCTTATCCCAGCCTGTAGCTTTCTCTCATAGCTGTGACATAGGGCGATGGAGAAGACAACACTGATAGTGGTTATTCTGGTGATCTATTTTAAGTTACTCTAAAACAGTGGCTTAAAATAACTATTATTATCTTCATAGTTCTGAGATGTATTAGCCTATTTTGCATTGCTATAAAGAAATACCTGAGACTGAGTAATTTATAAAGAAAAGAGGTTTATTTGGCTCACTGTTCTGCAGGATGTACAAGCATGGCACCAGCATCTGCTCAGCTTCTGGTGAGACCCCAGGAAGCCTATAATCATGGCAGAAGTAGAGGGGGAGCAGGCAAGTCAGATGGTAGGAGTGAGAACAAGAGGAAGAGGAAGAAGGTGCCATGCTCTTTTACAACTAGCTCTTGCATGAACCAACAGAACCAGAGCTCACTCATTACCATGGGGAGGCACCAAGCCATTTATGAAGGATGTGCCCCCATAACCCAAATACCTTCCACCAGGCCCCACCTCCAACACTGGGGATCACATTTCAACATGAGATTTGGAAGGAACCAATATCCAAACTATTTAATGAGGGTTGACAGCATCACTTTCACCATATCTAGTGGTCAGAGCAGTCCTACGAAGCCCAAATGCTAGAGACCACACTTGAGCAGAGGAAGAGGAAAGGAATTAATGGAGGCCATCTTTGGAGTCCAGCTACCACAGTAGCTTAAGAGAAGAAGTAGAGGTAGAATTAGCATATTAGTAGGCAACTAAAGGGAGTAACAGAATAGGGTTTTTTGAGATGAACATGATCATGCATGTGGGGTTTGCACTCCACATCTACTTTGGCATGGCCATGGAAATATATTTCCAAGAAAGCATTTTTTAAAATGTTTCCCCAAATGGCCCTTCATAGTATTTATTGGTAGCAAGACTCAATCCCCAAGGTAGAGACATTAGTTTTGTCCCTCAATTTCCAGCCTGCTCCTGAGCCTTCCTGTGGTCATAAACATCCCAAGAGTATATAAAGCCAGGGTTACAAGAGCCGGAATCACCTACTCAGTTACTTTGTCCACAGACAAACCACAACAAAATCATAACTAAAGTATTTCAGTAGAGTTCTGACCTATTTTTAAAGACTTGAAGAAAAGAAGTTTCCACAAAATGCTTAGGAAACCTATTCTGAGATACAATCATTCCTTATGTCGGATCTAACTGGGGCATGTCAGTCACCTCCCTGAACCTGATTCTCTGTGCCTGGGAAACAAAGCACTCACATACTTCAGACAGAAATTATTTAGATGAACTAATGAGTGGTTACAAAAGGCTTTGAAAATATAAATTGCTGCATAAATACTTATTGTCTATATAAATACCTTTGCTTCAGCCTGAGGGGGGCTATCGCTTTTTGAAAGATTTCAACCTTATAGAGTACCTGAATAGTGAAGATAAAGACCCTACTAAGTGAGGATAAGATGATTCTTGCCTCTATTGTGTATATTATTTACCTACCACAAAGTCTTTTCTAAAATAGAAACATGGAAAATTTTAGAGAGAGAGAGAAAAAAAAGGACTTCATGGTTCCCTTAGATTGTAAGCTCTTTCAGCCAGGTCTGTGTTCAATCCATGCTTTTAAAAAATATGATTCCTGGGTATTATTGGTGCTGAGAAGTTACATTGCAACTTCTTTCTCGCATATGATGTTTTCTTGTGGGCGGGGGTGAAGAGATGGGAAAAAAATCACCGTATTTTTACATGATTTTTGTTTTCTCTTTCTCTTACATTATAAAGGCTTTATTTTAAAATAAAAGAGATGATTTGGAGTGTGCCTCATCAAAAATTACTTTTTAAAGATTTAGAAGTTGGAAAAAATGTTTAAGGGGTTATATTAAGACCTCCTTCTTCAAATGGATTAGTTTATTCATCCTTTTCTGCTGATGGGAACCAGAACAAGAAAGAGTTGTATCCTACACACAGGTAGAGCAAGTAGACCTCCTGCATCTCTGCTTCATGGCCACCTTTTCCTGCAGTTATTACATTAGTAAGTCAACAAAGATAGGATTCTTTAGAATTTCAGATACCCAAGAATTAAGGAAAGTATAGGCAAATAGAGGAGGCAGAGAATCCATGTTCCTGAACTAGAAGACTAGTTCAGGAAAAGTAGCTTCCTTACGGGGGCACCATGTTGCTCCTTGAGGTGCCTTTACCAATTGGAAGAGAATGCTTTGAGCCTCTTGAAAGAGTAAAAGCAGGAGAGATGGACTATTCTTCCTGAGGCTGCAACTGAGCTCAACAGGCCTTCACATACTTTGAGTTTCTGTCTGAGGAAAGGAAGTCTTGTAAATCCTTGTGTCCTCTTTATCCTTTCATCTCTTCCATAGTTGAGCCTAAAGTTGCTATCATCCAAGATGGCAGAAGAATAAATTAAGTGAATTGATGCAGCCTGCAATCAGATGAATGCAGTGTACTGTCTCTAGGAACTATTCTGGAGAGCTGTTTTGTAATTAACCTGAAATGACATATTCAGATTTGATTAATCTCATGTGGTCAGTAGGTAAGCTTCAGCTGAAGATTTTTTTTTTTGTTATCAACAATAGGTCCTTCTCTGTGATATATTTGCAGGAGAATGTTTAAATAATATAAATGGCAAATATGTTGATCAATGCTACTGTCAGAGATTTGGCTTAGTTTCATAAATACAATGTATAAAATATTTCACCATATTTAATATATAGAGACATTGATTTAGGTTCATGTTTCTGTATTGTAAATTCATATACATATACACAAACACACATATTTATGATTTAAAAGTCATCTAATTATTTAAGCAGACAGACTTGGTTTTCATTCGGTCCCTAACCTTGCTCTCTTAATTGGTATACACGATAAATTCAGAGTTATAGATTATTTCCTGTGGCATTGGTGGATTACAGCTCAAACCTAAAGTTTAAAGATTTAATTTTCTGTTGTTCTTAATGAAATAACCAAAGCAGCAGCTCCCCGTGGTGGGATATGAAAAGTAGTGTATAGATACCTACTAAAACATTTGCAGACCTCCTCAGTTTTCTGTTTTTAATGTGATGAAAATTTGTACAAATAACAAAGAAAGAATGTCATGGTAACTAAAACATTTCCTATACATGTATTTTAGAGGGAAGCTAAATCAAAGGTCTTCAAAGAATTACTAGGGTTCTTTCTAGGAGGTTATTGACAAATATGTAGTTTGTCTCTGGAGTTTGTGCCTCTTTCACAGATTGGTGTATTTGTGATCCCACCGGCAGAATAAGTGTCTGTAATTCATTTCTCCTTGTTAACTAGTGCGCCTTTGTGTAGAGGATGATTGGCAGCAAAGTCGGCTGAGTCCCAACGGATGAGCTTGTTAGCAAAACCCTAGCATCCTATCTCTAATAAAGCATATCAGCAGTACATTTTGTCCTATCTATTAGCCTCTCTGTTTCTTTTTTTGTGAAAAGCTGAGTGTCCCTTTGAAGCAATGACAAATAAACCCCTGAACTGAAGTGCTAGGCTGCCTTACGGACAGCTGGATAGTAAATGTCACACCGTGTAGAGAATGCCTATTATCAGAGTGAGCCATTTGTTCCCGGCCTTTCAGTATCTTAATGTAATACAAAATTGCTAAATCAAGCCCCATGTCTGTGACAGAACATAATTAATGAGAAAGCAGGAGCCAATTCAACACTCTTTATTGGGACCTAATTGGCTCAGGCAACAGAGTTGTCACTCAACAAGAGACTTCCTTTAAAGCAATTTTGTTCTTGGTTGTATTACAGAGCCTATTAAATTGTCCCCTCCTTGATCACACAAAGAAGTATCTGCATGCAATAATTAGCTTTTCCAGGGGGAATTTTTTTTAACTCATGCGATACCGAATCATTCTAAAACCGTCTGGAAAAACACCCAGGCCGTGGGGATGTGCTGCCATACTGAGCTGCACTGTAGGCTATTTTCCAGGCGGCCGAGGCAGCAGGGATCTGTGCTGCAGAAAGCTGAACAGGAGCCCCAAGGAAAAGAGAAGCATGTTCAAATGTGGAGGGTGGGAGGATGAGAGAGGGAGTGGGTAGAGGAAATTACTTTGATGGATAATCATAGCTCACGTCATAATCTGCAGTTAGAAAGGGCAAAAAAGGAATGCCTGTATGTACATATTTAAACATATGTTTAGTTTTTGTAGTCGTACCCAAGTCACTTAGAAATCAAAATTAACAAGGCCATGGCAGGGGTGGAGGTTAAATACATAGAGAAACCTGAATTGTCTAGAGCAACATTAATACATTCGACCACATCTTGGAGTTTTATGGGGCACGCTGTCTCAAAACCAGCACAAATATTTAGTGGCATGTGATTATTCATTACAATCTGAAATTTCGCTTTTGGGAATTGTGCTCCCCCCACCCCATTTAACAAACCTCAAAATAAATTTAGACCTGGTATTTACATTATTGTTATAAAACTGTTTCTTTTTTTTCTGTCACAGTATCACAGACTTCAAATAAATCTGTGCCTTCTCTTCATAAGTTTTAAGACAATGTGACATGCAGTAACTGGAGACCATGGAGAACTGAGCTTACAGTTGATACTGGCATTTGCTAGGATTTGGATGAAAAGGACACAACTGGTTAAACTAGAGGAAAAGCAAATGGGAAAGTTGTAGGAAATATACTTTAAAACATACAAATTAAGCAATGAATTGTATGGATGTTAAAACTGCAATATTTGAGATCAGAAAAAAATTATTAAAGGTTGATTTAAGTGACAGCACTTTGAACAGTCTAAATAAAGGCAAGTATGTGGCTCTTTTCTTGAAATATCTGTCAATATCTCCCTTCTGTGCCTTCAGAAACAACGCAGACTGTCTAGTTTGCATGGCAGCAGCATTTGGTTGGATTTAGAGAGAGCGGCTTGCCTCGGCATTGTTATTTGCCTCAATGTGGAAGTGCCAGATCCTAGGAAAGAAAGGAAAGAAGGCAAACCTCTAAAATAGAGGAGAGCTGTGCTGTTCTTGCTTTTCTGTGCAGTTTGGAGAAGGTTTGCAGCTGCTGAAATCCCAGGACTGTGCCCCAGCTATGACGGCATTATGCAGCAGGCGCTCAAAGTATAGTGTTTTTTAGGTTTTCCAGCATTTGCCGACATATTAGCTGTATTGCTTAATTGTAATTTACTTGCATCTACAGAGAAATCATTTTGTTTCCCACCCCCTCTCAAACCTACCTCTAAAGAGTGAGCAAAGTGGGATTTATGAATGCACTCTAAATGTTTGAGAAAGATTAGCTGTTATTCTATAGGGTATTAGAAAATAAAACTAACAGCAATACAAAAATATTAGTCAATAATGGCCTTTCCCAGGTGACTCTTGAACCTTGTGAAAGCACACATTCTCAACAAAGATTTATTAGTCTAGTCGGGGAACACATGATAATGATAGCAAGAGCTGCCAGAATTTAATTTGCTTTAATTAATCATTTGCTTCATAACACGACGATTTTCCCCCTCCCCCTCCCCTTTTGTAACTGTCTAGATTATTTTAAAACATTAGATATTACACTGTGGATGGCTGATGAAACTGAAATTGAATGCTGTAAAAGTTAGATTAAAAATTCATTTAACAGTATAAACATTTCAGAGTGCAGGATGGTGCCGATTAGGTCAAGTGAGTATGGAGTGATAAAACAGTCATGGAGCTGAGAGAAAAAATATTGTCAGAGGGCATTCAAACAGCTGAATTTAGTCTAATTTAAATGTTATAGCAGACACACAAAAATTGTTAACTAGAAATATCGTTATAATTACTCTTTGGTATTTTAGCAACACAGACTGGTAAGAAGTCAGAACCTAGGTTTAAACACATTTATTCATTTCACTGTACAAACAAGCTTTGGTTGCAACTGGAATTCGTTCTCATGGTTAGGCCAAGGGCCCTCCATGGAGTGCTGAAGCTGAGTCAAAGACCACCTCGCCTGGCCCTCGTAGGAGAATTAAATGGAGTCGCTCAGATTTCCAGGATAGCCAAGACACCAGCTATTTTCATCATGCTCCTCTGGACAGCACTGAGCGGCAAGTGTCTCCTCCACGTCTGGCCTGGGAAGTGGCCAGGCTCAGAGGCAGGGAGACTGGGCTCAGTTAAGCCTAACAGAGATGCTGGCCTTCAGCCACGAGGGGGAGCTCACGGACACCCCTACTGACAATGCAGTGCAATTGGCTTGAGAAGCTAAAGCTTTCCCAAGGGTTTGAAGAACGACACGGCGCCTGACATCGCCGCTGACGACTGCTGATGTGAACGCTTTTGTGTGACAGGCTGAGGGGAGCTGGGGCGGGGAAACTTACATTTGTCTAGGCTTAGTGACCAAGCAAAACGCTTGTGTTCCGAGGTCTTTCAGCTTCCTCCATTTTGCTGATGCCTCGATGGACAACCTCAGCACTTAATTCTTACCCTTGTCTTTGTGAGCCTCCCCCACGAGTTGATTGGCTGTATTAAACGGGATTAAGCCCAAATAAATGCTCAGAATTCTTCATCAGCTCCCCATCGTCTACAAGATAAACTTCCTTCGGGTGTCACCAAGGCACTGAATGAACTGGTCCCTTCCTGTGCCTGTATCTTAAGCGTCATTTCAGCTCTCATCCCACTCTACCCAGCACATTGCTCATTAGCTACGCCTACTTCTCAGTCGTGTCCCTCTAACCCGTTGCCTTGCCTCAGCCTGATTGTCACTCTTTACATCACCCATCTTTGATTCCCTCGGAAACAGTGCTCACCTTGTAAGGTTCCTGTGAGGATTAAATGAGGTAATTTAGTAGTATGAGCCTGGAATATAGACGGTACTAGTGAGTGTTAGCTGTTATTATTAAGGACTTGCTTACGATCCTGTCCTTACACTTTGTACAACTTTCCCCCATATCAAGGACATTATAGTATTGCTTATTCACATGCCCTTCTCCTCACGATATTATAATCCTCTTGAGGATTATGTTTTTTAAATTTTTGGATCCCCAACCTAACACGATGTTTGGCTGCCATGTTGTAGGTGCTCAATAAATGTCTCCTGTATGAACTAGTGGCTGTTTGTTGTAAAGCATTCTGCAGTTTGGTCACTGGCCAATTTTTAAGAAGTATATAAGACCTTAAGTATTTTTTAAAGAAGCAGACATTTGGGTGGCTGCATACCATTTTTTCTCAAGCAGGTTTTCTAACCGTTTTCAGAATCAGTTAACAAAAAACTCTCACAAGGCCAGGCATGGTGGCTCACGTTTGTAATCCCAGCACTTTGGGAGGCCGAGGTGGGTAGATCACCTGAGGTCAGGATTTTGAGACCAGCCTGGCCAACATGATGAAACCCTGTCTCTACTAAAAATACAAAAAAGCAAAAAAATTAACTGGGCATGGTGGCATGCACCTATAATCCCAGCTACATGGGAGGCTGAGGCAGGAGAATCATTTGAACCTGGGAGGTGGAGGTTGCAGTTAGCTGAGATCACACCACTGCACTCCAGCTTTGGTGACAGAGTGAGACTCCACCAAAAAAAAGAAAAAATAGTAACAATATAGTCCCAATATATATAACAAATATATATATATATATATATATATATATATATATATATATGTCCCAAAAATAGTAACAATATATATCTCTTTGTTTTTTCAAATGCAAATAGTATTTTCAAGGACAATCAATTCATTACCTAATTCATTAAAATTGATCATCAATGAACTCAAGATGTTTTCATAAACAATTCATCCTCTAAGTACGAAACTTGGCTGTCACTCACTCTATCTAAAGGCATCTTCCAAAATGAGTTCAATAGAGGCAGCAGGGATAGAGTTGGTGTGTATTTTCTCACTGCGGTTCTTTGATGGAGACTATATGCTCTGTTTAACTTTTAAGTTCTTAACATAACAAACGGTTCCATTTCCTTGTCTACTCTACAGAACTCACCTGAAATACAATCAATTGCAATTATAATTGTAGAGTAGTCTGACATAGTCTGCCCATCAAGGTGAGAAAATGAGAGAGGTAAGAGCCCTATTCTGAGCCTCAAGAAAGTTTCAGGCTGGGAGAATCACCTAATTTGGAATTTTGTAAGGAAAAGAACATTGAAATCTCTTGCTTCACCAACAGTGGAAAGGCTTATAGATACTCGCTGTCAAGAAAGCCAGTCTTGCAGCTCTTTTCAATTTCCTGGGAAGTCAGGATATCCACTGCAGCTCACGGCACACCTTCACAGTAGAGTCACAGCAAGCTTTGTGCCAAGGAACAGGACAACATCATAGAAATTTGGGGGTCTCCTTGGAATTCTTAACCCTAAAATGCAGGGGGAAATTACAAACTGGTATTCATATGATTGACTTTGAATCTCACTGAAGGGATGTGAGCTGAAGAAAAATGTACTGTCATTTGCTTGGTTCAGAATTTCTGAGTGTTGGGGGCTGGTAGGTAACTCCTGTGGTCCCACAGAGAGCATTGTAATCAAGGAGAGCTCTTTACATCCCCTCTAGCTCCCTGCAATACGCACTGGCAGAATTGGTTAAATGAGCCGCCATACTCTGGTCAATATGAATAGGCTTGTAAGATGCTCAGTTTGATTTAATGGCCACCCATGGACTTCCATATGCAGAAAGAACTGTCACATTCAGTCTGAATAAAGCTCGAAAAATCAACTACTCCATTTGGTGTTGTAGTTGCATTTTAATGTCCTCTTCAGAATTCTCCGTTATAGTAACATCTCTGCAATCAGTCTAGCATAAAAAGACCTGTTTATAATAAATTGGTCAGCCTCTTATGTACCTATCTTTTCTGATAGGATAGAGAATGATAAGATTGTTCTTTGTAGACTAGGCTATAAGATTTTTAATATGACAAGTTGTATCTCTCCATTTATACAAGTGATTTATTTCAGGTTTTATTTCTGTTTTGAGTCTTTGTTTTCATGTTAACTCATAATTGTCCTGGGGGAGGGAGGAGGCAAATGGATTTCACCCACGAATTGTAGATCTTTGGGAGATGTTTGAGTGAGATGAAGTTTATAAAGAAGCCAGTTCTTGAACAACAAAATTGCTCGGTTTTTTTGCCATACTTTCAGCTAGGAAAGCAACTAAGTACTTTTGTGACAGTTGTGAACTACAGTGCCCTGGACAGAAAATGTTGGCAGAAGCAGAAGTGCGCCACTGATTTGTATGACTATTCTGAGGTGGAATAATCACACTGCCTTGTTAGTTCATAATAATCACCCAGTACAGAGGACCCTAGACCTTTGGAATCACTCAAAATTTTCATTACAGAACCAGCAGTCTTTTAGACGTGCTCTGGTGTACCTCAATGTTGAAACTGCATATTACAGGTTATGCTCCTGTAAATAAAGGACATTTTGTTATGCCCACACTCAGCTGTGTTCCCTACTGTGATTTCTTTACTAGCTCCTGCTGTCACCTATAGCCAAATAGAATGCATTATTGGTGAGCCTTTTTGCCCAAACTTGATGTCTGTCCAGACGACAAAATCACTGATTAGGTAGGAGGATAAAAGTCCTTCAGGAACAGAGTGGCTCTGGACCTCAGCTACAGACTGCAGCTAATTCATAAATGTCAACAGTCAAGAGGAGGGGAACCAGAACATTTTGTCTTGAGGGTGACTTCCCAACCATCTCTGGGATGCATGGTTTTCTTGTAGATTAAGGTTAAACAGGAAATGACCAAGCATGACTCTTCAGCTAAATTTGTAATGATCATTCCTGCTTGGTTTTAAAAAAGAATCCATTCTAAGGCAAATTTGTGCCTTTATTTCTCTTGGGGGGTTCAATAAGGAACTTAAGGATGCTTAACTTTCAGAAATACTGATGAGATTATTGAAGAGCAGTCAGTTTCCCTAGACCTTGTTCCTATTTCTCAGTTCTTTTCCTCTTTAATCAAAGTGCTCAGAATAACTAGCTCTTCTAGAGATACTGGTATTCCAAATTGTCATGTAGATAAGTAAACTTTTTTATCCTTTAAGAAAATTCTTCTCCTTAGTCATTTATTGGCATATAGGCATAGAACTCTATTGAAAGATGACAATTGAGAAAATTTCATTATGAATTTTTTATGAGGCCAATCAATAAATATTCATAATGACATCAACAATTTACAGTTTCATTTAAAGTTATTATAGGCCCCATTTATAACATGGTGTCAAATGTTATTTATATATTACAGATAAGGAAATGGGGGTTCCATAACATGCCAAAAGGTACTTTGTTGGCAGCAGTTGAGAACAAGTTTTGGAGTTAGACAATCCTGATTCCGCCACTTACGAGCTGCATGAGCTAGTCGCTATTATTATTCTTCATCTGATTTCTAGCTCAGTGTTTCTTCCATTTTACTGTGCTATGAACCTTAAATCATCAAACATTACAAATTAAGTAGAAAGAAAGAAGAGTATTTTGCTAAGTACTTACCACAGGTAAATTAATTTGAAATGCTGTTTTACAAAGAATGGTGGGAATTATAGCTAGTTTTCCCAAAGAAAGAAGTTCCAAAGACACCGAGATGTTCTGCTGCCTCCTGTTGGCTGAGGGGCAAAGTTTATTTCCTTACTGTACCAAATGAGAAAGGAATTATTTTATACCTCCTGTGTTTAAGTCATTATGGAGTGGTAAGGCCTCCTCTAAGGAGTCAAAAACTGTCTAGACGAGTCTGAAGAGGACCAGTTTTAGACAGTCGTGCTTAATACAGAACATGGGCTTTGGGACAGGAGATTTCTCTTTTTGCTCTAAGAGAGTTCTCTGATTAAAGTCCATGAAAACTCTGTTGAACATTCAGTAAGCATGGATTAAGAAATTGACTATGACCCACATGTTCAGCTGTACCTTGAGAGAACACATACACACTCAACACACTCATGCATACACATACAAACACAAAACAAAGCAAAACAAAGAGCAGTTGACTTTCCATTCTATTCATTAAAAAGATTCATTTATAATTGTATTGTGCAGGGGGCTGTAAGATTGAAGTGATACCTGAGGGAGGCCTGGGAATATGTTTGCACCACATTACTTGGACTGCATGATAATTGAGAGCCATTGTGGCTGAACACTTTATGAGTTTGTTTAATTTGTCACAGTAAATAAAGCTTTTTTGATGCAAGTTAATTAGCTCTCTTGTGTTACTGCACATCAAATGTAATTAACAACCAACTGCCAGTGTGGGGTTGCCCTTGCATAACATGGTAATGGGGGAAAAACTTAACTGGGGCTGGATTAAGTAAAAGATATACTGTTGAATCAATCACCCTTCTGTCTGCTTAAATTTAGATGGACTGGGATCTAGGGGGAAAATATCAGGTCTAATAAAAAATCAGCTGTTTAATATGGTTTCATTAAAAAATGCATGTATCATGCCAGGCTTACATTTGCCACCATATTAGGTCAACGCAGCTAAGTAAATTTCCTACCACTGCTCAGAGTTCACTTCCTCCTTGGTTGGCGTTGTCTATATGCCAACCTCTGCTTGGATATTTCACTTCCAGTCATTTACTTTTCTTTAGCTTTGACATTTTATCTCACCTGTGATAAGTGCTGCTATAGCGAAGGCAGAAGGAGTGCTATTAAATAAAGACTAAGAAGGAATTTGCTTCAATTGGCAGAAGACAACCAAAGAATCCACCCAAAGAAGAAAATCATGCTTCCAAATTCATAGTGGTATTCTTGTCTAGTTTATAGTTTGAGAAAGTATTCTGCCATACTTTTCCATTTTTTTCCTAGGCAAAGTTAACATAAAGACATCAAACAGTTCTGATTTATGCTAATTTTTGATCATGGTATTTGAAGAAAGGTTGGAAGATAGAAATATCTTTAAAGGGACACAATAATGGTAAACTTGAGATGCTCCATGTATCTATTATTTACATTGAAAATATTTGCTGGGAGAAAACAACAATATAAGTTAAAAAGAAGTAAATTTGTAATTGGATATAGCTTTGCTAGTAAACCTTTCCCCTCTCATCACCACTGCCTTCTCCTCCATATGAAAGGAAGATTCCATGCCAATTTATCTAAGCAATAGCACTCTTTTGTGGGGAATAACAACCTGGTTAGGAAGGAAAACTTAAGTAGGAGTATAAGACTTGGGCTTATGTCCTTACTCTGCCTCTAACCAGCACTCTGACCACCTTCTCTGGGACTCAGTTTCCTCACAGAATTAGGTGTCAGAATGGATAGTTCTGCAGTTGTCTTCTAGCTCCGAGTTTCCCTGATTCTCTGATCTCTCTCATGGTTTTCCAGAAAATCCTTCTGGTTTCATTTATTTTCACCCTGCCTGCCCCAGGTCTCTGCTGACTGGCTTTAGCAATGGAAGATGTGTAAGTCCAGCTACTAGGAAGCTAAAAGAAATGTATTAAGTGACAGCCAGTCTTTACTCATTCATTCAACAAATATTTACTGAATACGTTCTATAAACTAGGTTGTGAGAATCCAAGGATGAAAATAATTTGGATAATCCTTTATCTACATAACAGGAAATTAGAAAATAGATAGTTGGCTTAATAAATTAGCTCACTCTATTCATATTGAATTGTTTAAAAATATCCCTAGGTGTTTTATATAGGTCTCTTATTCCTGAGCTTTCCTGTCCATGCACTGCATATTCAATACTGTGAAACAGGCAAGCAGGCCTGAACTAAGGCAGAAGGAAGAAAACAAAGCTCCCTTTTATACTAGAACATTTCCTCTTGAGACAGCTGTTTTTGCTAGGAGTTGGCAAAAATACACATCTTATTTTCTTTTATTTGATTTAAGAATTCAATGTGAAAGATTGCATCACATATTGAATTTACTTTTACTCTTTCAAAAATAATACTTCTATTAATTTTAAAAGTAATACAAGTGCATGGTGAAAAATGAAAATATTACAAAAGTTCATGATAGAGAAAAAATTCAAGTGCCCAATTATCCCACTTCCCAAAGATAATTCTTATTAATATTTTGCTTTGTATTCTCTCTCTCTCTCTCCGTCCCTTCTTCCCTCCTTCCGTCCCTCCATATAGTAGTAAAATGTATTATCGTGTCTTTTCACACATATGGAATAGTATAGTTAATACTGAAATTTGACTTTTTCATAGTATATTTTGACCCTTTCCATGTAGATTCATCTCATTCTTTTTAATGACTATGTTGTATTCCACTGAATGGACCTAAGGTGATATAGTCAATTCTCCACTTAACAGATAGCTGACTTGTTTTCAGGTATTTTGCTATTATAAATAATACAGGATGATATCTGTAGTAATATTATCATCATTGCAAAGAGTAATAAATACTCACTAAGTATTTATTAATACTAAGTGCCAGGAACTTTATTATAGACTTTGTAGGCATCATTTCATTTAATTTTCAAAATAATCGGGCAGATGAGGACACTGAAATGCTATGTAACTTGTCCAAGGTCACATATCCAGAAGGTAGTGGAGCTGTGATTTCAACTCAAGTCTGTCTGATTTCAGAATTAGAGCTCGGCATTCACTCAGCAAACATTTTTGTGCACACATTTTTGTATACTTGTGTTAGTATATGTGCAGGATACATTTATAAAGATAAAATTGCTGGGTCAAAGGATGTGCAATATTTAAACTTATTCAAGTATTTTTTAATGGCCCTGAAAAATATTTTTGCCAATGATTATCCCCAATGGTAGTAAGTAAGAGTACTAGTTTCTCCGCACTCTTGCCAACACTTTGTAGCTTCATCTTTTTCCACCAATATAATAGGCAAAAAATTATCTTAGTGTTATTTCAATTTGTATTTTATAAACTTACTTTTTTAGTAATAAAATGTAATATATTTAAAGATCATTTGGTCATCAGCTTTGGAAATATGGCTCATATACCCATAATCTCTCAGTTTTAGAGAGGTTGCATGAAATTCTCAGTTGAGTTTTTCATATTCTTTATCATCTCCATCCAAACTCCTTGGTTTATTTCTATCCCCAGTGCATTTGGAATTTCTTTCTGGGATAAACACACTCAGGTACCATTCTACCAGCAAGTTCCAATTATTCAATCCAGGTCACAGTACTTGGTCAAAGTAACTGACAAAAGAAGGATGGCACTAGCCATTTAAAGCTGACTTTTTAAAAAAAATGATGGTAGTTTTGGGAAGAGAGAGAAAAAGTGACTTTTTAAAATACAACATGATATTTTTAAAAGAAAGCAGAGATCTCAAGGGAAAAACTAACAAAAATAACTTTAAAAGAATAGATGTTCAAAATCATTATGTTAAGTAGGAGTTATTAAAAATACTGCAAAAAGATCAGCTTGTACCTAGAACTTGGTTAAAGCCACAGTATATAGACAGACATTCAAAATGATGAATTTGTGCTATGGCGTTACATCGAGATGCATATAATCACTTACAGCCACTTGTAATTTCTAGAAATGAACACATATTGCCTAAGATTTTTCTAATTGAGCCATATTCTGGAAGCATGACAAAGGCAAGATCCATTTTACTTCATTAAGAAAAACAGGCTCATACTTCATATTTATTCTTTTTGAAAACCACCTGCTGTCATGTCCTTGTGATCTGTAAAATTCTAGCTTTCTATGAGTTAAAACAGGAGTAAAATAATTATATCACCTTGTTTGTTAGATACATTTAAAATGTAGACAGACAGAAAGATGGCTAGTCAGACAATCTGATTATTGTACCAGCTGAATCCTTAAAGAATCAGAGACTGAACCAAACTAAAAAGCATTAAGGAGGAGTACAATAGAGAGCATGAGACAGTTAGAGATAAGTGAAATGTGCAGCGTTGTTGGGCTCAGAATGAAAGAGATGACTTTTGACAGTCTACCCCTTTGTCAGAAAGCTGTTGCAGCAAAGCAAACTTAAAAATGTTATCTGCTGTAAACTACATCTTGAAAAAAGTGATTAATGCAATTTGGCTGTTCTATAACAGAACCATAATATATTGTTGAAAGGGGCCTGCTGAGGCAAAATGTAGTGTTGAAAATGTGCTGTTTCTTAATAATAATAGAGGATATAAAGTAAGCTTTGAAAAAAGTAGGCCTAGCCAATGATTAAGCTAACATTAACACCTTCTCACACTTTCAAAGACTCAACTTTCCCCAAGACCCTCTGGTTCTTTAAACTTATTCTTCTATTACTTTTCCTGTTTTGGGTTAAGTTTTCAGGTAGATATTTTGGAAACAAACAAGAAATGAAGGAGGGAAGAAAATCTTGGGGAAACAGAGGCAGAAAATTGGCTTTTGGTTTTCTTTTAGCAATCCTTTTTTTTTAAGATGGAACTCTCCTGTATATCAAATCTTGTTACCTGTCATGTTTTAGGCAGATGTGGCACAGTTAATGTGTATAGAATGGGCACACCAGAAGAAACAGGACCCTGGAATTAGACTGCCCACTGAGGGTGTGTAGTGCCAGAAGGGGATTTTGCTGCATGTGTGGGGAATATTTTACCATGTCTGACAGAGCTGGTTTCTGAAAGTTTTGATAACAAATGGTAATTCAAATAAGTTGATATTGAAGAGAGCATCCAGTAAGAAGCCTGGTGACAGGCTGGTGAAACAAGACAATGGGAAATCCTGAATGCCAGTGTGGAAGCGCAGGTAGGTAGGTGTCGGGAGGCCTCTTAACAGGGAAAGGCAGCACCTCAGCCACTGAACTGAGGATAAAACACAGAACTTTAGCCCTCGTAGAAACACTCACATGAAATAACCCTTGCACCAAGGGATATTATTTTTTCTGGCACTACTAAGATTCCTGTTTGGATAGTGGCTAAGTTGTTACCAAAGAAGAAAAAACAAGGAAACAAGCATGAATTGTTGATTCTTCCAAAGTGGGTAGCAAAAACAGCAGTAGTAGGTTGACGGTGCAAACTCTCATCTCCAGTGTAGCACCACACAATTCCCTTGACAAGAGACAAAGCAACTGCTAGGTTTAATGTGTCTTCACATGAGCAACTGATCTCGCATAATAATACTGCATCGTGCTGACAATCCTTTATGAATACAGCACTGTAATGCCGACAGTTAGCTAACAACAAAGCTGCCTGCCCAGATAGAAGCTTTAGAACTACACGGGAGGGACTTAATTCGACTCAAGGTAATTCTGGGGAAATGTGGAAAGGCTGACATCTGGACTGTCATGCAAAGCAGACACATTCTGAAACACAAGAGAAATGCCATCTGAGAGGTCCTAGTGAGGCTTCCAAATTGTCATCAAGAGCTTGTTAAATTTTCATAACTTTAATATGGAAGAAAAAAACATCATTTCAGAAAAGTAGTGGGAGGGGACCAGGGCTTGAGATAGATACATTTATTTCATTTACAAAATATTTCTTTACTGCTTTCTGTAGGTCAGGTACTGTGCTAGGTGACAGAGATACAGACATGAATAAGATTGTCCCTGCCCTCAAAATTGGGTTATTATTTACTTTTGGAGAGGGAAATAAGCCAACAATTACAATGTGTTGTGGTAAGGAGTAGGAATTAAGTGAAGGTTGCAATGGGACCTGGGATAAAGAGCATCTAGCTCTCTCTCTCTCTCTTTCTCTCTCTTTCCATGCGTGTGTGTGTGTTTATAAAAGGTATTGGAGTTCATAAGGGAAGGCTTCCAGGAGAAGGGGATTTATAAATTAAATCTTATAATATGAGAAGGACAAGTCAGAAGACCAGGTGAGTGGGTGGATGGCTGAGCGTTATAGTTGGAGAAAATGGTATGTGCAAACTTTCATGTTTACAAAAGGAACACATGGAAACAGAACTGCCAGACCCCTTACTTTTTGGGGGTCTTTATTGATAATGGAACATTGAGAGCTAAAAGGCAAATGTCTCCTTTCATGGCAAGACAGAATCAGCATTTCTTGATAGAGAATTAAAGCAGAATTCTTGACAGAATTCCTGACAGAATTAAAGCATTTCCTGATACAAGCTTATTAGACTTTAAGGGAAGTTATTTGGGGACATTACGAAAATACCTTCTCTGAAAAGTGTTGTATGGAGAGTAAGGTGAGCAGATATGGAAACTAATCAATACTTCTTTTAACTCTAGGATTTCAGTCTGATTCCAAGACTGACTAAAAAGAGTGAGAAAGATTAATGAAGGGGAAGGGCACTACATGGAAGGCAATTGCAAAGTGCTACAAAATAGTAGGGGCAGGCTAACATTATGAGGTCTCATACAGGGGCATTTCAGTGTTAAAATAATGATTGTGACATAATTGCCTAAAATTATTTGGCAACCCTAAAGCATTTGAACTATTTACAGTAAATTCTAACATGCTATCCTTGTAACCTTTAGGAATAGAAATTTGCTCAGGTCAGGAAACTGTTTCTTGGAGTGCAATGAAGAAAACCTAGATCATTACAGACATTTAGTTAGTCTTCCGATTTAGATGCTGACTTCTAATGCTGTCCCTGAATTATAGATTGTCTTCAGCCATTCATAACCTGGAAGGCTCAGGCCCAGTCCGTATATGGTAGCCTATTTATTAGTGGTGGCTAGACCTGTGTTTAGTTCTCAGTTTAACCCAAATCCTTGTGTGTTAACTTTATCAAGCTTTTGCTTTGATATTTATGCACTACAAATTACATGCAAAGTGTACACAGAAGTTTTTCTCTTTGAGATGGAAATATATATCATGCTCAGTTTCAAAGCACATTTCTCCATACCTTTTTTGCTTGTCATCTCCTACAGATATTAGGAGAGCCAATGCCACCAAACATAGTCAACAGCAGGGCTGGCTTACAGGAGAATACCATTCAATAGCATCTCATCTGGAAACATGGGAAAAGCATAGATAATTTCATAGAAATTACCAATTATTAGAGTTGGGTAGGATGTTTAAAATCATCTAGTTCCTTATCCTCAATTGGCAGCTGGGGAAATCAAAGTCCTTGCTCAGAGTCCTACAGTGATAATAGACAGAATTTAGGTTTTCTAAAAGCCAGGCCAATATTTTCTTCTAAGACATAGCATGTCCTTTTTTATCCTTAAGTATAAAGCAGAATACTTCTTTTCTATTAAGGGTCAGTTATTTTAGAAAACACTTTGAAAATATAAGTGCCATAAAAATGTATTATTTAAAAACATTTGTATAAGAAAAGCTACCTTGACTTAAGAATGCAAACCTCCCACTTATTAAAACCTCACATAGTTGCTTGCAAATTTTATACAAAGCTCCCCAAATCTAGTAGCCTCTGGATTTTTTTTTCACCCTGACATGATCCCATCAGAGAGCCAGCAACCTGGTCAACAACTTATCATGAAAAGTTGGTTGGAAAAGGCAATCAAGTAAATCTGTGTCATTAACTATTTAAGCATGTTGCTGATTGCAGAGTGATTCCACCTATTTCTTACTTTGTCCATGTAGCAACCTTAAGAGGCACACAGGAACATATTAATTTTTCCATCTTAGAGATAAGAAAGCAATGTCTTCAGTAATTAAGTTGTTTGTTTAATGTCATGGAGGTGGTGTATAGTAGAGCTAAGCTGCTTACCCAGGCATTGTCACTCTTGGTCATGTGCTCCTTTCATCCTACCAAATCACCACCATCATCATTATCATCATCATCATCATCATCATCATCATCATCATCATTATCATCATTTTAACTATTATAACTTTTCCAGTACTGGCAGATCTCCATGTATATAACAGCATCTCTCTCATCTTACCATTACCCCATTGTACTGCTTTTATATCCCCAAAACTTGCCTCTTGGTTGCCTAGCAAATGTAGCTATGAGGCTCCAGGAAAAACAATCACAGCTAACTATATTTTAAGGGCTCCTTCTCTACCACTGACTGTTCAATAGAAGTCAACAATAAGGTTGACGTTTCAGTGTCTCCAAACCATACTTCCTAGAACATCTGAGGAAATTGCTGACATTTTTTTTTTGGTCCCAAGTATAGTACTGAAAATTTTGAAGGCAAGATCAGTAGCTCAAATTAATTGGTCTTAAGTAACTATAGTATTACCTTTAGTGGTTTCTCAGGAAGTGGTTCTCTCTCAGTGGTTTCATCACTCATCCTTTGATTCTGTATCTCACAGTGCCCTCTACACTTCCATGCAGCTTCCCAACCACTGGGAGGAAGAGACTCTCAATGACTGACCCAAGGACACATAATGAGTAAGTGTCAAGCTGAGATTCCCTCTCAGGTCTTTCAGTTTCAAAGCTCATGCAATTGTAAGAAAATAGTAAAAGCCATATGTAGCAATATTAGATTTCAAAACTTTCAGACATTGGACCTAATTGCAGCTATTAGTCATTCCAGCAGGTTGCACTGAAGAATATTAAAAATAGTTCCAAACAAAGATACAACATACCAGAATCTCTGGGACACAGCTAAGGGAGTGTTAAGAGAGAACTTTATAGAACTAAACACCCACATAAAAAAGTTAGAAAGATCTCAAATTAACAACTTAACATCACAACTGGAGAAACTAGAGAAGCGAGAGCAAGTCAACCCCCAAAAGTAGCAGAAGACAAGAAATAACTATAATCAAAGCTGAGCTGAAGGAAATTGAGACATTAAAAACCATACAAAAAGTCAACATATCTAGGAATTGGTTTTTTGAAAAAATTAATAAGTTAGTTAGACTGCTGGCTAGGCTAATAAAGAAAAAAGAGAGAAGGTCCAAATAAACACAATAAGAAATAAGAAAGGAGACTAATATGAATACCTCCATGCACACTAGCTAGAAAGCCTAAAAGAAATGGATAAATTACTGGACACATGCAATCTCCCAAGATTGAACCAGGAAGAAATTGAATCCCTGAACAGACCAGTAAAATAATAACAAGCCTACCAACAAAAAATGCCCAGGACTAGATGGATTCATAGTTAAATTTTACCAGATGAATAAAGAAGAGCTGGTACCATTCCTACTGAAGCTATTCCAAAAAATTGAGGAGGGACTCCTCCTTAACTCATTCTATGAGGCCAGCATCATCCTGATACCAAAACCTGTCAAAGATACAACAACAACAAAAAACTTCAGGCCAATATCCTTGATGAACATAGATGCAAGAATACCCAACAAAATACCAGCAAACCAAATCCAGCAGCACATCAAAAAACTAATCCACCATGGTCAAGTAGGCTTTATCCCTTGTATGCAAGGTTGGTTCAGCATATGCCAATCAATAAATGTGATTCATCACATAAACAGAACTAAAAACAAAAATCACGTGATTATCTCAATACATGCAAAAAGGCGTCTGATAAAATTCAACATTGCTTCATGTTAAAAACCCTCAACACACTAGGCACTGAGGTAACACACTTCAAAATAATAACAACCATCTAGGACAAAGCAATGGGCAATATCATACTGAATGGGCAAAAGCTGGAAGCATTCCCCTTAAAAACTGCAACAAGACAAGGATGCTCTCTCTCACCACTCCTATTTAACATAGTATTGGAAATCCTGGCCAGAGCAATCAGACAAGAGAAAGAAATAAAAGACATTCCAAACAGGAAGAGAGAAAGTCAAACTATCCCTGTTTGCAGACAACATGATTCTATAGCTAGAAAACCCTACAGTCTCTGCCCCAAAGCTCCTCCAGCTGATAAACAACTTCAACAAACTTCGTTTCAGGATACAAAATTAATGTACAAAAATCAGTAGCATTCCTGTACACCAACAACAGCCAAGCCAAGAGCCAAATCAGGAATGCTATCCCATTCACAATTGACACACACACACACACACACACACACACACACACACCTAGGAATACAGCTAATCAGGGAGAGGAGATGAAGGATCTCTGCAGTGAGAATTACAAAACATTGCTCAAAGAAATCAGAGATGATACCAATAGAAAAACATTCCATGCTCATGCATAGGAAGAATCAATATTGTTAAAATGGTTATACTGCCCAAAGCAGTTTACAGATTCAATGTTATTCCTATCAAACTACGGATGACATTCTTCACAGAAGTAGAAAAAAACTATTTTAAAATTCATATGGAATAAAAAGAAGAGCCTGAGTAGCCAAGGCTATCCTAAGAAATAAGAACAAAGCTGGAGACATCATATTACCTGACTTCAAACTATACTACAAGGCTGCAGTAACCAAAACAGCATGGTACTGGTACAAAAACAGACACATAGACCAATGGAACAGAATAGAGTGCCCAGAAATAATGCCCCACACCTATAACCATCTGATCTTCAACAAAATCAACAAAAAAAAATAAGCAATAGAGAAAGGACTCCCTATTCAATAAATGGTGCTGGGGTAACTGGCTAGCCACATGCAGAAGATTGAAACTGGGCCCATTCCTTACACTATACACAAAAATCAATTCAATATTATTAAAGACTTAAATGTAAAAACTAAGACTATAAAAGCACTGGAAGACATCCTAGGACATAAGACCTGGCAAATATTTCATGACAAAGATGCCAAAAGCAATTGCAACAAAACACAAAACTGACAAATGGGATCTAATTAATCTAAAGAGCTTCTGCATAGCAAAATAAACCATCAACAGAATAAACAGACAACCTATGGAATGGGAGAAAATATTTTCAAACTATGCATCTGAAAAAGGTCTGATATCCAGAATCTATAAGAGACTTGAATTTACAAGCAAAAAAACAAACAACCCCATTAAAAAGTGGGCAAAGAACATGAATAGACAGTTTTCTAAAGAAGACATACACACAGCCAACAAGCACATGAAAAAATACTAAACAACACTAATCATTAGAGAAATGCACATCAAAATCATAATGAAATACCATCTCACACCAGTGAGAACGGCTATTATTAAAAGGTCAAAAAATTACAGATCCTGGCAAAGTTGGGTAGAAAAGGGAATGCTTATACACTACTGCTGAGAATGTAAATGAGTTCAATGTGGAGAGCAGTGTGGGGGTTCTTCAAATAACTTAAAACAGAATTACCATTTGACCCAGTAATCCTATTATTAGGTATATACCCAAGGAATATAAATCATTATACCATAAAGACACATGCACGTGTATGTTCATTGCAGCATTATTCACAATAGTAAAGACTTGGAATCAACCTAAATGTCCATCAGTGGTAGACGGGATGAAGTAAATGTGATACATATACACCATGGAATACTATGCAGCCATTAAAAAGAATAAGATCATGTCCTTTGCAGCAACATGGATGAAGCTGGGGGCCATTATCTGAAGCAAACTAATGCAGGAACAGAAAAACAAATACTGAATATTGTCACTTGCAAGTGGTAACTAAATAACGAGAAGACATGAACATAAAGAAGAGAACAACAGAGACTGGGAATTACTTGACGGTGGAGGGTGGGAGAAGGGAATGGATCAAAAAACTACCTATCAGGTACCATGCTTATTTCCTGAGTGACAAAATAATCTGTACACCAACCTTTCCCCAGGACATGCAGTTTACCTATATAACAAACCTGCATATGTGCCCCTAAACCTAAAATAAAGGTTTAAAAAATATGATCAGAGAATAAAGGAGGGGTACTTTAATTCTGAGTGTGATCTTTATATATATATATATATATATATATATATATATATATATATATATATATGGATCATGAAAACTGTAAAATGATATACAAATTGAAGTTCTGCTATTTCTATGAAAAATAAAATAACTGAATTTTGATTGTATTGAAAAAAAAATGTTCCAAAACTTCCCTTTCAACACTGTTGTCTAAGACCGACAACTTTAGTGTAAGGTGGATGATTGGTGGGCTACATCTGACAGTATTTAGTCATTACCATAGCAAAAAGATCTTTTAATGAAATAATTGTATCATGACAGGATATATGTTTATATTTTGTTCTTGTTTATTGATGTCTCAAAGCTCATGACTATTAAGCAATTCTCAGACTAGTCTTATAATGTTGATAACATTATGGCGTATTCTCAGGGGTGATCCTCTCTTCCAATTTTCAACTGGATGTAGGCCTGTCATTCAGAGTCATGGTTTCACAGACTATTCATGGTCATACATGACTATGAAACCCTCAGTGACCTCTAATCCTGATTTATCTACCTGGATGACCTTGAGAAAGTCACTTACATTTGGGAGCCTCATTTTCTTCTCACATAGGAATTACAATGCTTTGCAAACTTCCTTTCTTCCAAGCATTTCTGGGAGTCTCCAGGGGAAAGTCTCATTTGCTTGTGAATCAGTCTGGATCCCAGTTTGGTTTTTATGCTCTTTCTTGTGACCGTTACACCTGGACCTCTGATGATATTGTGCCCTTCCTGAAGTTGCTGCCCCTTCTGAAGTTGCTGCCCCTTCTGCTGATGTTTCTCTCTACCCAGGTCCTGCGTTTCCCTCTAGATTAGGACTCCCTGCTGATGGGCTCAGCTATTCATGCTGAGTCCTCCTGGGGCCATAAAAATTCAGAAGTCTTCACTGAAGTGAGATGTCAGAGGTTTTCTCCTCTCAACACTGTTAGGGAAAGCCCACTGGCACGTTGTTTGACTCTTTCAGACACTGAATCGAGTGGCATAACTTTCAGTTGTATACACAGCGACTTTCTCCCAAGACACCAGCATGGCTGAGTTGCAATAGGTTTGGTCAGCCACCACCGCTCCCTAGAGCTGTTGACTGTGTTCATTATTTGCCTTCTTTCCCTTTTAGAATGAGTTTTTTCAGTGTCCTCTTTTCTTCCTCCCATGCTCAAATAAGGGTTTTGTTGGACTAGCCCACAAGTTTGCCAAATGTGCTTGAACTCCATCTGAAACTATTTAATCATTGTCTTAGAAAAAGTCATAATGAAATGGTTCATGTGAATGGCTCCCCTAGAGCTCTAAAGTACATAACTTGGGCAATGAATGATAATGCCCTAGTTAAGCCAAACCCACTCGTTTGCTAAACATGCCCAGACATATCTGAACTTTCCACTAGACAGTAAAAGCATGAATGTTTCCTACATATACAAATATAAGCTGTTGTTACTATTATAAATATTAATTTGTAACAATATTGAATGGGCTTTATCAAAGGATATAGTCTTATTCCCTAGTTGAAGAGGGAGTCTGAGTCACATAAGACTTAAGTAGATTCTGTCACATGCTTCACATGGTAGGGAGATAACAAGACATTTCACTGCTCCTAGCAACCCTGTACACTGTGAATATAAAACTATATATGGATCCATATAGTTAGCCCAAGGGCACGGACCTGAAAAGTTCATCTCTACTAAAATAACACTGTAGTTCCATTTTCCATATCCTCAGGCTGAGCAAGTTTAAGTTCAATGACAAATATTAGAAGAGAGCCAAAGAATAGAAAAACATGATAAAAATATTGTTCATACTATATATATGTATATATAAACATACATATATAAATATTAACTCTAGAGTATCTTCTCTAAAGAGTTATCGATGCTTTAAAAATAAGAACAAAAAAGCAAATGTGAAGACTTTTAAATTAAATTCTAACAATTTCAAACAAGTGCTGCCTGGGAGATCATGCAAGGCATCCAAAGCCTAAATCGAATGTATGTTGGCAAGAGCATCTTCACATCTCCCTAAATAACTAGCTAATACAGTCAGTATTTTACACCTCATCGAGGCCTGGCACTTATTTTCAAAATGTTCCAATCAATTGTCAACTAAAAAGAATGCAGAATTTCAATCCTTGGTGGTGGGGCTGGGGAAGGAAAAGTTTTCTTTTCTCCCAAAGAATGTTGCATTGCAAAGATGGAATTCTCTGGGGCTGCCAAGACTGCTATCAGGTGTAATCTAGCCCATCAACATTTTTAGGGAAAAGGCAGAATCAACACAAAAACAAAAGATGAGGGAGATACAGAGGCATCCACTTTTAAGCTGCTATAATAAAGCTTCTTGTCTTTTCTATTGAATAAAGTTTTGTAGAAAGTGAAATGTAGATCATATAACACATTCTAAATTGTTTCTCTTTCCTTATTCTTTTGTCAGGCCTCTATTTATTTTTCTGACCAGAACAAAAGTTCAACACTCATTCGGCCTTTCATGTAATCATTTATTTATTTAAGAGTAAAATAAGGGATAGTAAAAAAGTATTGGCTGCACAGCTGAGCAGTCAAGGAATATATAGTCGAATAGAGGGCAAAAGACATATACTGAACCTGTGAAAATACAGGATAGAAAACAGGAAACATCATGAGAGAAGAGCAAAGGTCTATAAGCATTCAAAGGAAGAATATGTGGATGGAGAATGGTGTGTTTCGTTTTTTGAATCCACCTACATTATGGGCATTGTGCTTAGTCTTACATGCATTACATCCTCCAACAACCCATTTTACAGATGAAGAAACTGAGGCTTAGAGGTTATTGCATCGGATTAGGGTTCCACAAGAAATGGTAAGCCTAATATTAGAAACTTCAGGTGACTCTAGTTTCTGGGAGGCGAGCTTTTGGGAACATCTCATAGAGACGGAACATTTGCTCAGATCCTTGAGGATTAGTATGAGATGTGGGAAGAGTTCATTTCATCAAGAAGAAATAGTGTAGGCCCAGGGATTAAAGTTTGATTGGAGCCCAGGATAGAACCAGAACCATTCTTTATATACTTAATTGGGACTGACAGCTAGTCTGTAAATCGAAAACTTAGTTAAAGTGGGGGAATCACTAAGAAACAACACATAGATATTTTATTTTAACATAAAATGAGCAAGCATATATTTATTTGCCAATCTTTTGTTGAGGAAGCAAATCATTTTCTTGAAAAATGAGTCTTCTGGTTGGAATATTTACTTATAAAACACCATTTTATGACTGACTTCATGCAAACTAATTTGGTTTATTTAAAGTGGAGCAAAAGTGGGAGATAAGAACAATCTGAGTGTGGTATCCTTCTGGGTTTTTATGATTTATTTGCTCAATCTGTTACAGCTGTCCTGCCCATTTCTAATTTGCCATCATTTTTATTGGCTTTTTAAAAAATAAAATCAAGCACATAACTTAGTTTTCATAGAAACATGTTTTATCAGTTTTTATATTAAATCACATAATTGCAAGAACAAGTAAGATTGGCATTAATAGGTTTAGGCAAGCATAAACTAATTGGTGGGAGAAGGGCACAGACATACTGTATAACTTGCCCTGAGTGTTTAATCAGCCATGTTTCACAGAAGCTATGTTTTACAGAAGGAATGGAGAACATTGATCTGATGAGTCAATTAAATAGAAATGTGTTAAGAAAGTTTCTACTGCAATGGAAAAATAGAAGACAAGATATATATGAGTCTGACATTGTAAGGCCTTGAATGCCAAGCTAAGTAGTTTATCGTTACCGATTAGCCACACTTGACATCATCACAATGTTGGGATCACCGTGCTCAGAGCTGTGGATAAGAATGATCAATCTAGATAGTGCCTAGAGAGATTTGGTAGAGATAACAGTGAAAAGAAATAAGGTAGTGGCAAGTGTGAAAGGAAAAGAAGGGATGGATGAGAAAGATATTTTGGATGTAGGATGAGAAGGTCATAACAGTTGGTCAGATATTGGTGTAGTATTTAATGTACCTTTCTCATAAATGTGAATAAGATGGAATTTGCCACCTTGACATTATATGAAACTTCAGGGACATTACAAGAACTTTTAACTCTGCCCATTTGTCTTTTGTCAGTCTGCAAACCATCCAGGTAGTTGCATTGGGTTTCTATTGCAGCAGCCCTCTGCCACATCACTGTGTATACAGCATCTCCTGGATTTAGCACTATTGTGTATTATTTCCTAGTTGTTTCACATATGTACTCTTTTGCGTTGATGTAAAGATGGTGATCCCAGGATAAGACTTTTTTCTTTCTTTTGCATTTTAGTACCTCTGAATCCTAAAATGCATCTTGACATACACGATGGCATGTCAAAATATAATTAGTTGCTTGTTTTTCTTAGTGTTCCAAAAAATAAGTGTTTTATAATCAATAGCATCTTCCCCTCTCAATCAGATCACAAATCCGAGGGGAAATTCTTGGCCTCCTTTTCTTCTTCGTCCTTTTTAATGCCTTGCACAGTGCTGGGCATATAGTTGACCTTTAGCAAATACTTGACTTATTGTTAACTCAAATTAGATTCATGGTAAGTTATGTAAGTCACCCAATACTGAAGCCTTCTAAAAAAGTAGTCATATGTTTCTGTTTCTGTTACTGTTATTTTCTTGCCCTTCTCTTTCTTTCTAAGACCTTTCCTGTTCTGCTTGCTGTTCCCTCAAACTTTCCTGAGACAAACTCAGGAAGAGCACCTTCATTTTGCAAGAGAAAGTTGGTGGGAAAAAGCTTCTCTGGTTCATGAAATAAGGTATCATGTGATGACTTTAAAACTATAATATTCTCAGTGTCAAAGAGTAGTCCATCTCTTAAAGAGACCTTAAGAAATGTGCTCAGAAATTATAACATGAGCAAGAATTAGCTCGGTTGGCTTAATATTTTTAAAAATTAATATCTGTTGTTGATTAGCTCTCATTATACCAAAGGAACTTTTGAAGGGAGGTATTTAATTTTTCCTTTTGTTTCTATTCTTATTTGTGAATATGTTAATTTTAAGAGAAAGTAGAGAAGGAAATATTCAAGTAATAAAGCTGTCTAGTTCAATAAGACAAACATATTTTTAATAAAATTCACTGTTTCCAAACAAATCATAGATCAAAGAGCTTGAGAGAAGGAACCAGAATGGTTGACCATACATATATTAGAAAGCACAAGTGCCTTTAAGCAAAATAAACTGGCTATTTAAGCAGTATTCTGGGGAATATGGTCAAACAAGTGTGCATTCTCTGGTAATTTTAAAATTTTTCTAATCAAAACATAAAAATTAATTTTCTTACAAAAGTTAATGGGTGCTGGAAATACATATTAAAATGCTATATTGACATAAATCACTAATGGAAATACGGGGAAGAAGAGTTTTGAATGAAAGACATTTGCATGAGCTAGAAAATGGAAGATGCAAAATAAAGGTTAAGTGCAATGTTTCCATGTAGTAGTGAAGTTTTTGGAGTCTGAAAACAAACATAAAATGTTACAATTGGTGTGGTTTGGGTCTTCCTCTCTAATGTACTAGAACCCAAACCATATTAGAAAACTAAACATTTAAAACATACAACCATTCTGGAAAAATAAATCCTTTGTGGGGTAGGGGGCACCGTGAATACACTTTTTCCTGTTGGTAGAGTCCATGCTGGCCCTGTTAAAAAACATGGTAGCAGAAATGAAGCCATAATGATAAAATATTTTATGAGAAAATGTTTAGTGGGGCCATAGTATGGCATTGAGTTAATAATGCTAAGAAATCAAAACAATGCCAATTGTTGATTATTGCTATGAAGAGATAGCTTATTGGCCTATAATTAATAACAAAGTTTGATTTCTAATAGGTACGGCAATGCTTCCTAAACTTGGTTGTGTTCTGGAATTACCTGGGGATCTTTAAAAAATACTGTTGTTTGGATCCTACTTACAGAAATTTTGATTTAGTTACTGTGGAATATAACCTGAGCATCAAGTTTTTAAGGGCTTTCTGGGTCATTCTAATGTCTAACCAAGTTTGGGAAATACTGATATACTCTATTGTCAGTGAAAACAACTACTACCTACTTTTTGCTTTGTTGACATAAGAACTCCCACTATTGTCTGTGCATCCAGAGAAAACCTTTGATATTGAAACACGTATCTCTGGAAAAGTTTGATAGAGGGGCACTTTTGTATGAGGGGGTGATAAGGCATGGGCAGAAAGAGAGGCTATTCTGAGAATGGAAGGTTATGAAGTCTGATATATAATGAAGAAAGAGGGTATTTCTCCATTTCACCTAGTTTGGACTTTAATGAGGCCTCATTAATTTGCTTAAGCTAATTTTCTATAAACTATATATTCATATTCAAATGTCGTTCAAAATATATTAAAAGATAAGTTTTGATGATTCACTATTCTGAATTATTTAAGCCATGAGGAATAATCAGAGGTTCTTTTCTGAAAGAAAAAAACACTTCAGATTGTCGATCATTGCAATCACTATCTAGGGAGATATATATTATATCTTTGTTATGTTTAATTTCGATGATTCTCTGAACTAAAACTTGTTGTAATGCTACCCTTTATAATGGCCTTTGGCTGGTTCTGTGATAAAAAGAGCAAGATAGTAATTTCAAGATGTATTTCCTACATGACTCTGCTTTTGTGACTTTATCGATCCCAACATTATCTGAACTCTTTCTCCCCCAGTTTTGGGATATCAGATGAGAAGGAGTTATTTTAGTATCTCTTGGAGAATAGCATCGATGAACTATTTTCATCCAATGCAGCATAAATTGTTTTGTCCGCAGCAGATTCCACCCAAAGAAGGCCGACTCTGATTACTGGTTATTAAGGTTTTTTTCTGCCATATGTCTGAATGGAAACGTGGCAGATTTTCCTTTGGGTTTCAACAAAGTGTTTTCTCAAATCACAATGAAACGAGGTGATTGAAATGCCATAATAACAGTGGTGGTGGTAGATTGTTGCTGCTTCTTGACAAAACAGAGAAGTGGAGCAATTTGAAATCAGAGTTAACTTTTGGGTAAAGAGGTAAGGCCTCAAAACCAAAGATCAAATTTGCTGTTAGCCTAATTCTAGCTAACAACAAAGAGCATTTGCTTGTTTGGAGTCTCTGCGGACAGGTTATTAGTTTCCTACCTCCCGAGACGTGAAAGGAACACCTCAGAATGTGGAAGAAAATGGCAAAGCAGCCCTCGTCTTGGTGATGTTTGTATTGGCTGTGCTTATGCAGGAGGAAAATGTCTTCTTCTTCCCACTCAGTGGCACTTCCAATCCATTTGGCGTGATATTTAATGGGGCTGGTCATTAGCCCAGAAATGCATAAAGGAGAATGCATTAGCCACAATTTGTCTTGATAAGGTTCTCTTCACTTATCTGATACAAGGCACGGATGCATTCTAAAAAAGAAGATAGCCTTGCTAGGAGTGCTGATCACGGTGGTTTCATTAGACTTCCTGAGGCACCGAAGTGAACATTTAGTTATAAAGATAGCCAATATTTAGTGATATGATATAATCGTTTGGTTCCTAAGTCTGAAAACAAGAGTTTATCTAAGATTAATATGGGACTTTTTGATAAAACAATACTCAAAATAAAAGTCTTAAAGTTTTGGGCATCATGCACATTAAGACTAAAAATTGTAATATATTATTTGACTTTGTGTCCAAAATTATGGACAAGGGTATTTTTTAACCCTAATATTGGATTAACTCTATAATTTTTTCATTTTTTCCCAAATGTTTATTGGCCATTTATACATACTTTTTTTTAATTGGGGAAAATATACATAGCACAAAATTTACCATTTTAAACTATTTTTAAGTGTACGATTCTGTGACATTAAGTACATTCACACTGTTGTGCAAACATAATCACTATAAATCTCCAGAACAATTTCATCTTCCCAAACTGAAACTCCATACCCACTAAACAGTAACTCCCCATTACCTGCTCCCTCCACCTTTGATAACCCTATTCTACTTTCTGTCTATGAATTTGACTAGGTACTTCACATAAATGGAATCATGCAATATTTGTCCTTTTGTGTTATCAATTCTTTTTTTAAGCATCTGATTTTGTAAAAGCATACAACAGTCATAATTTAGACCAGAAAGAGATCAGTAATGCCAGTCTACTTTCATGAATAAGGGAGTTGATAACTAGAAAGTTAACTAGTTCGCTCTGCTAACTTCTAGTCCAGAATGCATCTTATCCAATTTAAGATACGGCATTAGAATATCTATATTCACTATTAGAATATAGTGAGTACCTATATTCACCATTAGAGTACCTATATTTACTTTAATGACATTTGGGCTAAGAAGGTCTTTACCATGTCTCACTCATCACCTCTCTACTGGTCCTATATATAACTGCCTCTAAATAAATTGCCATTAAATCTAATGATGATAAATATAGCTAATATTTATTGTCTGCTTATTATTTGACAAGCTTAGTGCTGTGTCATATATATACACATATAATATATATATATATAACTTAGTCTACACAACATTTTATAAGGTAGGTATTCCAATTACTCCATTTACAAATGAAGGAACTGAAGTATGAAAAGTGAGGTTGCCTCCACTAGGTTGTACAGCTAGTAGCGTTAGAGCCAGGACACTGAATGACAACATTTACCTAATTGATATTTAATAAATAAAAATTAGTATGTTAAAATTGACTGGGTTTCGGCAGTCTATTATAATTAAGGAAATATATGAAATTTTCATTTATTACTTTTGTTGATTATATTCTTTTCATTGGTTAATCCAATTCCTTAATACATAAGATGATTGCCTGCTTAGCATAAATCAAAGATAATACTAAATTGGTTAAACAATAGGGTTTGCAATAACATTCAAATGTATAAAAATTTCTTAAATAATTATCTTTGATTCTCATCTACATTTATGAATCTGTATTATCACACATATATGTTAGGCATTAAAGACATTAGTGACAATAATACCTATGGAAGAGGGGTAATACCAAATTAATCACCAATATGGGCAGAATAATAGGTGATAATGCTTATAACCTAGAGGAATTTAAAGTTTTGCATCATAAGTCCACATTCTTGGATAGATCAATGTCATCCTTTAGGCTACGATTTTCTACTTTACTTTGGCTCTATTATTAATTTTCCCATCAATAGAAGCCAAGTCTATCTTCTGTATGTTGGTTTTAGGGTTCTCCCAATCTCATTGAACAGTCAACAGGATGGGTCAATGGAATACCTGGCCAGTTAGCAGAGTATAGTTGAACAATTTTCAGCCAGGAGGTTGGCAGAAGAGGTTGTGGGATATTCAGTGACTGACAATATCTCTCTGATAAAGATTCCAGTAATGGTTCCTTTCTCAGTCTTCCACATCACAGCAATTAGTAATTAGAATTTCATTAGTCACTTTCTCTCTGGTAGCTCAACCCCATACACAGAAATCTCCAAATATCACAGATGCATCCTTGTAAAAAGTTGTTGGAGTGGATGCTGCTGCCAGAAAACAAATTGTCCTTTTAAAAGAAGTGTTATATTAGAGTTTTATTATAGTCTGGCAATGTAGAGGTTTCGACCACTATATATGAAATAAAGTACACATTGAATTTTTGTTTTTAGGACACTTGGCTAATTTATCATTAGGAAACATTGTTAAATCTTCTTTCTACTTAAGATATTTGATTACCTGTGCTAGACAATTCTTCCTCATTTTGGCACAATCCTTATTTTTTCTAAAACTATTTGCTTTACTTATAATTCTCTGTTTTTATTCTTCTCTGCATATCTTAAATAGAAACAAGCACATATCCACCAGGTGCAGTGGCTCATGCCTATAAATCCCGCACTTTGGGAGGCCAAAGGGGGTGGATCACTGGAGGTCAGGAGTTTGAGATCAGCCTGGCCAACATGGTGAAACCCCATCTTTACTAAAAAAAAAAAAAAAAAAAAAAAAATTAGCTGGGCCTGGTGGCACGTGCCTATAATCCTAGCTGCTTGGGAGGCTGAGACACAAGAATCACTTGAACCCAGGAGGTGGAAGCTGCAGTGAGCCAAGATTGCGCCACTGTACTCCAGCCTGGGTGACAGAGCGAGACTCAGTCTCAAAACAAAACAAAACAAAACAAAGCAACAAAAAAAAGAAGCACATATCTTGGATATATATAAGCAGATATGTGATTAATGAAACAGAATCCCACATATAATAATATCTCTCCTTTATAGAGAATCAAAACTAATAGAATATATAGATATGATTTATTATAAAGAACTGAGTCACACTTTGAATTTGGAAGAAAAGTCTTTTAATCGCTAATATTGGAGAAGAATTTTATTCTTACTCTAAACATTTGCTTTAGGACTGGATCAGTCCAGGGCCAGAAGGAAGAGATGGTGTTCACCCCTAGGTTCTCTAGAAATTAGCCCAATACCTGGAACAGATCACCATTGGTCAAAACTTAGATTCTCAATTTTTACTGCTTATTTTCATCCTATTACTCATGGTTATGTCACCTGGCTCTCTCCCATGCATCCCTCCCTCTCCTATTTCACAATTATTTTCTTCAAAATACTCTTGCCTGGCGACTACATCTCCTACTTAGTCATCATAATTTTTATATAATATATGTATATTGTTTGTAATGTGTCATTTTCTTTTATATTGTTACATTATAAACATGCTGTGTTAAAATATGTTAAATTGGTTTAAACAAGTTTCCTTTTTAGATGCTTTTAATTTAGCTCAGATTGGTCTAAATCCACGAAGAACCATATATTAAACACTCTTGAATAGCTTCTATGAAAAGAAACTTAATTTATGATGTTTAGTATTATACATTATACAGTTTCTTTATTTTTCACTCAGTTCATCATGCTGTGAAAATTCATGAATATTTAACTATTAAATGAAATGCAAAATTTTCATTATCATTTTATTGAAAACTTGACATCTTAAAATACCATACATACTATTAGTATTCTAATGCATTGTCACCTTATTGAAAAATGCTGCTAAAAAACAATACAGCCATTCAGAAAAAAAAATTTTGTCCGCCCAAGGCTATTAACTATAGTTCTACACATACATTAGTGACAAATAAGTGAAGCAGCCAATGCTCACAAAAGATGTCACTAAAATGCTAGGAAACAACTGTAACCATAGAAACCATCTCACACTGCAATCTGAACATCTTTTGTCAGTGTGTGACTAGAAATGAGATGCTTAAAATCATTAGACTATCAAAAAATCTGAACATCTCTCCACTGAAATTTACATATTTAAATATTTTGAAACCTGCAAAAACTTCAACATGATACTTCTATAAAATATTGTTTCAGCTCCTAGCCCTCAACTATCAGTTTAGATATAACAACAAAAATTATACATGAAGACTTACAATTCTCCCCCCTCTTTCTTTAGGCTACATGCATTGTCTGAGGAGCCTAAACAAACACCCGGGAGAACAGAGGTTAGCTCCCAGGGCTGTCTACCTTCCTGCTCTAATCTTCACAATGGTGCCATTCTTCACCTTTCCTTTCTCTCTTGAACAATCACTGGCTTAAATTGTACCTATTCCAGCAAGACAGGTTTTCAGGTTTCATAAGCCTTCATGACAGTAAGTACAAAATTGTCTTAGATAATGAGATATTTAAATAAAGAATTTGACAAACCAGTGTAGGAGAGCGTGAGTTTGGATGCATGTGGAACAGCCTCTGCAACCTTGGATATAGAACTGAATTTTTTCCCTTGTCTTCATCTTCTCAGAAACTCCTGAAAGGTCTGGTTATTTAGCTGAATGCTCTGTGTTTAAGGAGCAGTGGAAGCCATTTTCCTTGAAACCTCCCTTTGAAACTAAAGGTTAAGAAGCTCCTTAAGCAGCCTGGATTATGGAGACTTTAATATTTCTAAATTGTCCTCCCTACCTCTTTCAGTCACCATTCTAAAAATATTTATGGAGTACCCATAATGTGCTAGGCACTGTTCTAGGCACATCGGGCTCAGCAGTAAACAAAACAATGTTCACTGCCTGTGGTGCTTACGTCTTAGCAGGAAGAGACAAACAGGAGATAATTAACAGAACAAGTACATAAGAAGTCTACAGTATGGTAGTTTTGAGCACCTACCACATGCTGGTCATTGTTCTAGGCTTTTGGGACCTAGCACTGGATTAGATAGGCATGACCCCTGCTCTCCTGGAGCTTTCATTCTGAGGAAATCATAAGGAAGTATTTAGCAAATGCACGAATGCATAAATGGAGTGTTTCATCTCTGAGACTTGATCATTGGGATCATGGGTGAAGGGGGCATCTCCAAGCCCCCTCCATGTTGTTAGCAGTCAACATGACATAAATAAGGAGGTTCCATGGAGCAACTCTCAGTGGTTGACCATGTATCTAAAATACAGTGTCCACTTCCCTATTCATTTCTTTTCATCATAAATTTTTTTTCTGATTTCCAAATCCTCTTTTTTTCTGGAAAATGAAACCCCTGTCCTTCATGAATAGTTAATTTCTATTTTCCCACTGCCAAATAACAATAGTTTTTTTCCATAAATATCCATAAATCAATCTTATCAGAGAGTTAATCATATAATATGTAAAATATGTATACAGATGTGAAAGTTAAACACATACACACACCATCTTTTTGAATACTTGCTGTGTGCTGGGCACCATTTAAAAATATTATTTAAGCCTTAAGACAGATTGTTGAGATGGGCATTATGATCTTCATTTTTCAGGTAGGAAAACTGAGATTAGCATAATATACTAATTGGCCCAAAGATACATAGCTAGTGACTGGTATTGCTGGGACCTAAACATGAACCTGTAAGACTTTAAGGGCTATGCTTTTCACCACCATTTTTGAGTCATGCAAGGAGAAAGGTCCTTCTCCCCAACCCACCATGCGCCCCAAGAGGACTCTCCCAAAGGACGAGGCTTGTACTTTGTTGTAGTGGTCACAGGGCTTCTGCTCTCCTTGTGGGTGGCTCCTTTTTACTCACCACATTCCAGTCTCTTCTGGACACAGCTGTGCAGCCTCCAAGAGCCCCAGTGTCCACCAGTGTCCACCATGTTCATCTGCAGCTGAGCATACACAGATGGGGTTAGGGGTCAGGTAAAAGGGGGAAAGTTTCTCCAGACTGTTTAATAATGACCTCCTGTACACAAATGTTTAGTATGTTAAAGTTGTAAGGGACCATGAGGGTATCTAACTCCTTCATTTTATTGATGTGTGAATAAGTAGAGATTTAGAGTTGACATGGATTGCCTAATTACTTCACTAGGCAGGTAGCAGCAGCAGAACCAGGTTTGAATCCAGGAATTGTCTCCCAAGTATGTACTCTTTTAAGAATAAACTGGCTCCTCGGCATGTTTACTGTGTGCATGTGTGGGTACTAATATGCAGAGATGATCAGCACACTCACACATACCTATGTACTCTCTGTATATATTGAGAGTTCTCTGTATGCTTAAATTTGATTTCCAGTATAATTTTTCTTCTGGAATGTCAACTTTGTTTCTCATCTGTTTTATTTTACGGTTATTTAAACTGCCAACTGTAATGTCACAAGCAACCTTGACTCATGGGAGGGTACCAGAGGAGGAACTAAATGACTTTGCGTCTCACTCACCAAGGCCTCCATCTCTCTCCACCCCCTCAGTCCCTCCCACAGAGCTGACACTGTTGTTACATTTCAAACCATTCCAAACCCCTACGTTGAGAAACAGGGCTGTGCAGATTCACTTGAGAGTAAGAATTCATTAGTGTTTCCTAATCTATATGTTGTATATCTGCATACATGTATATATATTCTGCACATAAATAAAATATGCATGCAGTTCAAAGGCCCACACATGGAATTCTCTTTTCCCTTCAAAGTGTAAGTGTGCTATGAAATAGTTACTCTACATTTTCAGAAAATAGAGAAGACAATGATACTGAGTTTTTTAAAAGTCTGTTAAGTGAACAAAATCACAAAAATATAATAAAAATGGCACAGCAACTTACTTGTTGCCTTGCTAGTCAAGAGAAGCCTTCGATTTTGTTTCTCAATCACCAAAATGATAATCTAAAATATAAGTGTTTTTTATCCACATTGCAGTCTAATATCCAGCTGTTTGTTTTTCTTCCAGCACGCTGCTGCCCACCCCGCCTCCCCCTGAGGGCAGGAAGCACTATTAATCATTCTTCTGTTCAATATAGAACTGGATTCTTCTCTGTGCCACAGGCCCCCAGGGAAGGGGGGAACCTGCTTAGGCAGACCACCCAGGATTCCACAGAAAAGTGGTCAGTCTGAATGCAGGTGGTTGGTCTCCTGCTCAGGTTTCTATTAAGACCCATTAGCTGAGCTGTAATGGGCACTTAGGGCTTTTAACTCCTTCTTTCCCAAGTCTTCTAGACATTAAAGCGTTGTACGCCTCTCTCTCTCTCTCTCTCTGTGTGTATGTGTGTGTGTGTATGTATGTATGTATTCCAGTGGAAATACTGCTACCACTGCAGAGTCCTGGGGACCAGCAGCTCTGGTTCTGATGAGAGAACACCACCCAGAAAAAAGTCATGGCTAGGATCTAAGTCAGGGCCAAGAAATTCCAGCAGGCATCTATTAGAAAACTAGGAAGTGCCCTGAATACTGAAACTGAAGATCGAGCTGATTTTTAGGGGCTTTGGGAAGACTCCCCTGAGATCCCAAGGGCTTCCCCATCAATTTTCCAGTGATTGAAAAGTTACAATTACAACTTTATTCCTTTTGCTTAAGATTTCATCACCTGTAAGAATGCAAGTACCCTCAGGAAAATCAGCATATTAAGCCTTATGAATTAAGTAAAACTTTGAAGAAAGAGCTGGCCAGACTTATCCTGTAGTTTTGATAGAAGGAGTAAAAATATAAGGAGGAGGGGATAGAGTAAGGGCAGGTGGAGGCATCAACAATAGGGGGAAAGGAGGAAGGAGGGGAGGCTGGATTTGCTGAAAACACTTCTCATTGTTAGTGAAGATTATGATAATTCAAGGATTTTAGCAGAGGGGTGGAGGAGGAAGGGAAGAATGGGGGTCCAGAGGGAGAGAGAGAAAGAGAGAGACTGATATATTTTCCAGCAGCGAATCTATAGGGGTCTACAACAACCTCAGTTCTTGCCTCCTCAGAAGAAAGAATTCAACAGAGAGGCATAAGGCCCAGTGAGAGACTGAGGCAAGTTTTAGAGCAGGAGTGAAAGTTTATGAAAAAGCTTTAGAGCAGGAACGGAAGGAAGTAAAGTTCACGTGGAAGAGGGCCAAGCGGGCAACTTGAGAGACTCAAGTGCACAGTTTGACTTTTGACTTGGGCTCTTATATGTTGGCATCCTTCTGGGGTTGTGTTCCTGATTCTTCCCTGGGGGTGGGCTGTCTTCATGCACAGTGGCCTGCTGGCACTTGGGAGGGGAGCATGCACAGTGTGTTTACTGGAGTTGGGCACATGCTCACTTGAGGCTTTTTTCCCTTACCAGTTAAACCCTGTCATGTTGCCTCTTAGTGGACATGCTTGAGCCCACTCATCCAGCTCCTGAGATCTTATCTGGAAGCTGCCGATCACCAGTTTCAGGTGTTTTTATATATTGGGAGACTGCCTCTCTCTGGTGCCGTCTGTGACCGATTATTATTTTAGAGAGATAGTGTAACAACTACCTGACCAATACCTGATGGACACCTGACATTCCTGGTGAGGAGAGGGGGCCCTCTCCTGCCCTGTTACCTACTGTAACAATGCTTTAAATGCAAGCTCTAGGTAAGAAGGAGATGATGGTTTTCGTAGAGTAGACACTAAGATAGGAGAGAGGTTGATGTCACCATACTAAAATTCTTGTTAATAATGCAGGTTGAAATCAATATTTTTGTTTTAAATTATCCAATTTCTTTCTTGGCATCCTCTTTTTTTTCCATTAACATCTTCAAGGATGTGCATGAAGCATGGAGACTAAGTAAATGTTGAATTGAAATTGAAATGCTGCTAAGCAATTTCTCTTAAAACTGTTCAGACAAAATTACTACCCTGACAAGCGGGTCCAGGAACTCCTAATCCACAATTAAATGAAAGTGTTACAGGAAAGGGGTCTCGATCCAGACCCCAAGAGAGGGTTCTTGGATCTTGTGCAAGAAAGAATTCAGGGCAAGTTCATAAAGTGAAAACAAGTTTATTAGGAAAGTAAAGGAATGGCTATTCCATAGACTTGGCCTTCCTGGCCAAGTCCCTTCATCAGCTCCCTTGGGGTTGCTGGTTGCCCATTTTTATGGTTATTTCTTGATGGTATGCTAAATAACGGGTGGGTTATTCATGCCTCCCCTTTTTAGACCATATAAGGTAACTTCCTGAAGTTGCCATGGCATTTGTAAACTGCCATGGCGCTGGTGGGAGTATAGCAGTGAGGACAACCAGAGGTCACTCTTGTCACCATGTTGGTTTTGGTGGGTTTCAGCCATTTTCTTTACAGCAACCTGTTTTATCAGCAAGCTCTTTATGACCTGCATCTTGTGCTGACTTCCCATCTCATCTTGTGACTTAGAATGCCTTAACCATCTGGGAATGCAAGCCAGTATGTCTCAGCCTCATTTTACCTAGCCCCTACTTAAGATGGAGTTGCTCTGGTTCAAATGCCTCTGACAAAAGTATAGCTCTTTTCACTGGGTTTACTGCCTTCTGGTTGTCAGTAATCTTTCCCCTGTGCAGAGCATGGTTGTCATCTTCTGTACAGTTCCTCCACTTTTCAGTTATGAACCTCTACATAGCCCACTGTCTCACATGAAGTCCTGTCCCTTCTGGCTTTCAGTTTTACTTTTCAGACTTAGTGTCTTCTTTTAGACCTTTCTCAACTAATAAAAACTAACCATTGTTAGCATTGATAAAAACTAACCAAATGCAAAGGAAGGCCAGACACCTTCCTTTGCATTTCCTTACAAGAGTTTTGAACCCAGTACTTGAGCATTTGCTGAATAAGAGTTTGATTGCTACAGAGAGATCTAAGACATAATTTACAGATGGTAGGGAGGAGATTTGGTGATGGAATAAATGAGGTTAATTACCTTTGGGAAAGGAGCTTGATTGGTGACACCAGCGTTCCTGACTTGAAGAACTGATTGAATGAGGCCTTCACCTACAGTGACAGAAACAGGGACCTAGAGATAGGGTATCATCCAGCTGTAACTGAAATGTAGAGTCATTTTGGGGCTAATTCTACAGTAGTTATTTAAACAGTACTGTCATATATGCCCGGATCTATCTCTAAGTTTTGGTACTGGTGTAACTCGAAATTACTCCAAAAATTCTGAGGACAAAAATGGCCATATATCTTATTTTTCTTCCATAACCTGCATTTTCCTTTTGTGTCCACTCCTGGGAATTTACACAGCCTAATAGAGATATAGGTCTGAATTCCCTGTCCAATCAGGATAAACCTGGGCTTCGGCTACTGCAATTCTGCCTCTAATTCTGGCTACTACACAGTGTGGTTGTTAACAAGCCCCACATAGACTGCAGTCATGATGATCCTTCCTGGCCAAGTCCCTTCATCAGCCCCCATGGTCCTCACATGGACAATGGGCATCTTGGAGGGAGGATGGATGGCTCACCCTAACTAAGGATGCCCAGGATCATTTTCGAATATCCCAGAGTCACAGATGTCCCTCAAGGCATCCAACACCCCAGGCATATGCGTCAGAGATAATCTGGTCAGCCCCTCCTGCTAAGCCGAAACACCGATCTCTCTGTTACATGGATCTGTCCTAGGGAGTTGGACAAGGTTTTCGTCTCAACCCTTGAAACACAGAAGGTTCCCTGACATCCCCCTCTTTGACAATAAAGCTAGATGTCAGATTTCCGAAGAGAGGTTTCAATCCTGTCCGTCATCATTTCTGAAGATGGGAGGGGAAGCTAAATCTTGTGGTTCAAAGGTGAATTATCCTTATAAGAATCATCAAGAAAACTTTTCAGTAACTTTTCCCACCCTAGCTTAGGGAAAAAGTCCAAATTTCAACATACCATCCTTCTACTTTAGACACCCCCAGGAGGAATTTTGTAAAGACTACCTGGAAGTTCCTCTGATGGCATTTGTATATAAAATAAATTTAAAGTGATTCGGTAAGAATGGTGTGAGCCAGGGCTTCGCTGTTTTAGTGGCTCTTTATGAGAATGACTGATTGATATTTTTAGTCAGAAGAGATTTAGAGATAGATATAGTTTGGATATTTGTCCCCACCCAAATCTCATGTTGAATTGTAATCCCCAATGCTGGAGGTGGGGCCTGGTGGGAGGCGTTTGGATCATGGGGGCAGATCCCTCATGGCTTGGTGCTGTCTTTATGGTAGTGAGTTCTGGTAAGGCCTGGTCATTTAAAAGTGTATGGCACCTTCTCCCAAGCCAAACCCCCTCTGTTTCTTGCTTCTACTTTCACCATGTGATGTGCCTACTCCTACTTTACCTTCCACCATGAGTAAAACCTCCGTGAGGCCTTCCCAGAAGCAGATGCCAGCACTATGCTTCCTGTACAGCCTGCACAACTGTGAGCTAATTAAAATTCTTTTATTATAAATTGCCCAATCTCAGGCACTTCTTTATAGCAATGCAAGAGTGGCTTAATACAGAGATTATCTAATCCTGGATAAGTCTAGCAAATAGACTTTAAAGTAACTCTAATTTCCCCTCCATGTCAGACATCACTAATGAATCACAGAACTCTTTCCTGATGAGCCCTTATTCAACCTTGCAATCCTTTCTAATTTAACACACCAGGAAGACACTCCCAATTGATCAGAATTGGTAAGCAAGATGAAGGTTATTTGCCACCCAGATCTAGTGTGTGTGCACATGTTAACGAGAGAGAGAGAGAGAGAGAGAGAGACAGAGAAAGAGAGAGAAAGGAAGGAAGGGAGGAAGGAAGGAGGAAAGGAAGAGGAAAAGGGGAAGTGCTTTGTTTGTTAAGGTCATACAGGTAGTAATTATAAGAGGCAGACCTATGTGTTGTCCGAAGTTTTTTGGTTTCATTGAGAGTTTGTGTTATGCCAGTCGTTAACATTTTTATTAATTAAAATGAATAGATTTGCTTCATAGAACTTGTATTGTAAAATAAATTCCCCTTAGAAAGTAACCCTAAAGTTTCACTGTTGTCCCATATAGTGGATCTGAACCTTACTTGAATGAGAGGAAATTTGCAGCCCTTTAATTTCCAAGCAACTTTTGTATCTATCTCACTGGGAACAGAGCTAATAATCCCACAGACTCACTTATGAGCTGAGGAGTGATGGTGTGACTAGGCTGCAGTTTTTAATGTTCATGAGTGCCTAAATGCCAGATGAACTCAACTCTAAACTTTCTGCTGTCACTCTCAATAGGGAGGCTGAAAGCAGGTCAAGTGTGTGGACTCATCATTCAGCTATTTTGGAATAAAGTGTCCAGTTAGGCTGCATCTACATAATGCTACATCAACTCATTGAAAAATGAAAAATTAGGTCAGCCACCTAGCTATTTTGATATCTAATGAAAAGTCATCCGTGTGTCCATTTTGAGTGTTAGGCATAAACCATGGAAATCCATTATTTATGGTATGTATAGACAACAAAAACTATCAAGATCCCTGATCCAATAATAATACATGACACTTAATGAGTACTTTCACATGCCACACTGAGTGCTATGTCTTAGCACTTTAAATATATTATCTTATTTTAACCATCACAATAACCCTATGAGGCAAATTTTCTTTTCTCAATTTCAGACATGAGAAATTAGAAGCATGTTTATCTTTCTTCTTTATTAAAAATATGGAATATATATTTAATAAAGCTAAATATTCTTGTATGGTGTGGTCAATGTAAGCCTGAGGAGTTCCTATTAGAAAATGGAGGAAATCATAGGTTCTTGTCCCACACCACCATTGCTTTGACTTCTCAAATTCTTTACAGTAAAAAGTGAATTTAGAAAAACAGCCCAGCGGTCTAGAATACTGAAATCACTCAGGGTAATTGAGACCTTGGTGGAGTTAGGCCTCTTTATCTTAAGTCTTCCCTTTCCTGATACCTCTTAATGGCTTGAGGCCACAGGGACAGAATGTAGACCCTGTTTGTCTTTCATTCAGCTCAAACCTAGAGGAGCTGTGCAGTTGATGAAAGAAGAAAGATGGAGGGACAGTTCAGATGTTTCTACCTGTCAAGATCATCCATAAAATGTACATGATCCAGGAAAATTATACTACATCTTGCCAATGCTTTGACCTTTTAAATACACATGAAATGACAAAATGACAAAATTAAACAAGAAGGAGGATGTCTTGAAGGGAAAATGAAGTCAAAAGTAGGCAGTCGATAAGCAATTTAAGAGGAGGGACATGTTAGGAAGGTATGAAAATATACACTACCATTTTGCCTTGGTGATAACAGAGGAAGTGGTAGGTTGATTGTGAGTATGCATGAGTGTCAAGTCATTTTAATATCTAAGGATAAACTCCATCATTTACTCCAATCAGTTGCCTCCTTGAATCAGTAGTAATATGTCCTTATAGATGCCTCTCCAAAGTTTGGAGATCACCTAATAGCTGTGCACTCCTCTCTTCCTCAACTCTGTATTTTGAATATAGACACATCTACATGCCAAGTTTCTTCCTTGGTCGGGGCATGGGAACAGTGCTATGAGTAGAGATTTGTGTTAGCATATTAGGCTTATATGAGATGGCATATAAAGCCATCTCTCCAGGTCCGTGCTTTGGGCATGGGAGTGGGGATAGTGATAAGTGTGTGTGCATGCACAGAGGAGTTCTCAGGGCCAAAAGATGCAAATGAAAGAGAAGAAAGAGCAGGCATGTAGCACAGAAAGTGGAAATACCACAGGAAGTAAAAACTAGAAAAGAGCCTTTTAACATTGAGGTTGATGGCTAAGAAATGTTTGGCAAAGAGAATCGTTTGGCGAGGAGAAATAGACAAAAGCTTCTTTTTCCTTTCCAGGTCAAACCAACTCCCGCCTAACATCTGAGAGATGCAGAAGGTATTGCCCACAGTATGGGCTCCTTTAGACATTTGGAAAGTCTTGGCTTTCAGCTGCCTATCATGAAGGAGCCAAGGATCAAAATGCATCAGCAAGATAAGAATGATGAATGCAAACATGGATGTTTAGAACTCAGATGCAAATTATAATATGGATGCAGATTAATCATCCTGAAAGTCAGAGGGGGCTGCTAATACCACCCTGTTCAAAGAATTGTGTCTCAGCAGCCAGTTTGTGGCTGCTGAATGAATCAAGTGCAGTTGTGATTCATTTGTCAAGAGATTTAGGCCCTGGCTAATGGGAAAAGAGCAGACAGGAAGTACAATTAAGGTTAACAAATAAAAATGTCTTAAGTGCTTTTTCATTTAAAAAATAGCTTAATAATCTATATATTGATTGAACTTAGCTTGGTTTAACTTTGCCAAATATTGAGATCATCTTTGATTCACTGATGCTATATGATGCTGCAGTTTTTCCATCATAGATCCATGTTCTTTTTGGTGAAATAAATGTTCTTTTTTGGTAGTTCTTACTCAGTTATCTTTTCTATATTCACTGTTTTTCTCATCGTGAAGTTCAGCCACTGGAGATTTCACTGACATCCAACTGCAATCATAGTCATTGGCGGATGGAAATAATTAAACTAGATTATATTCATATTTCGTATCTTTTTATAACTTTATATACTTTAATACACCCACAGCGACAGGTAAAAGTGAGTCAAGAATTCATAAAGAGGCATTTCACATTGTGTCTAATTGAAAATGCAAAATTAAAAGTGGGTTTTAGCGGTAAAACAACATTAGAACTGAGGCCTTGGCATATGAATGAGTTTACTCAGAAAAATGCATAAACAAACCTATTGTTTAATACTATAAAATCCATTTCCTTTTATTTTTGTTGAGGCTGAGGAAGGAAAAGGATATTTACTTGTTGTGTGAGCTTGGAAAAATCTCTTAGTGTTTGGGGCTTGAGTTTTCTCACCTGTGAAATGAAGAGATTGGATTAGATTATATTAGTATATCCTCTAGTTTTAAAATTCCATGATTGTCCTAGAAATCACAGAAACAGTCTGCACAAGAGCTGAGTGTCCTGAAAGGAAAGAAAGTTTTCAAAAGATGCCCCAACTTAATTCATGATGTTCATTGTTTTTCTTATTCTGTTATAGTGATTGAAATATCCATGTCCATAAGAAGAGAATCACTTTCCCTTGGACAGAGCTTGACAAAGTTCTCATCCTTTATTTAGTTCCCTAAGTAGCGTGGCATATGACATGTGAGAGGACTTGGACTTTCACAATCATATTATCCTAAAGGCAACCCTAGCTACCTTAGTGTATGTTTTTGAGCAGAGGGAGTGAGAAAAATGTGAGTTTAGAGAGTTTGGCAAAAAGGGAGGCCAACTCGTGAAGAGTCTTATGTGCTCTAAGAGAGTGGCCTGGATCTCTTCATACTGGATTATGAAGGTGATGAAAAGCCATCAGTAACTTTTAATGAGGAGAGGGGTGGTAAGAAATAAATTATGTGATTCGTATTTTAGAGAGAAAACTCTGGCATGAAGTAGAAAATGAATGGGTGTGGGGATAGATCACAATCAGCACGATCAATGAAGATGTATGGACATAGTGCAGGCAGATGAAAAGAAAACTAAAGTAGGGCCAGTGGAAATCTAGAGAGGAGGGTGAACACAATAGTAGTTTAGTAAGGAGGCTAGGGAAAGATGGAAGTTGAAGATGAACTTCAGGTTTGTCTTGAGAAACTGGGGAGATGGTGAATGTTTGAATAGAGAAAATAATGGGCTTTATTTTATGCATGATGAGTGAGATTGTATCAGGAATGGTCACAGGAGAGGAGTAGAGGAAGGAGCAGAAATGTTAACTTTAGAGCAGAAGGAGAAAAAGGATTCCAACAAGAGAAGGTGGAGGCGTCCTAGACGAGGCTGTGGGCTTTATCTTCTGCCCTTGGCTCATTCAGTTGATTGAACAGATTACCTCTTCATACTTAAGGTGTGTATGGCATGGGAGAGACAGAGAAAAACAATCACACCATCATTGGATGAGCTGACATCATGATTCTCACCATATTCCTGATGCCACACATGATGGCTGAAAAATGGTAAGCCACACTATAGTTGTTGAATGAATGGATAAGTTCATTAATGAAGTTCTATAATAAAAGTACGTAAAACATGTTATGGGACCATGGAGGAAACAGTGGGCTATTTTTGAGTAGAAAGTAAAAGTCAGATAATATTTCACAGAAAAGGTGGCAAAGAATGGTTGAGAAACAACTGAAACGAAGGGAGCAGCATTTGTAAAGTCACGTTTGTATAAAAGTGAATCTTTCCTTTATTTTGAGCTGTGGAGGAAGAAGACAGTGTTGACCTCTGTTTTAGTATGGATTATCATATAAGGATCTTTTTTTTTATCTTAAACACATTCTTGAAAATATTTCATGTTTTGTAGAATAACTATATTATTAGGCTTTGTGCGTAAAATAAACAGAAATGGTGTGCGCAGTTTCCTCACTTAAATCAAACAGGGAAAATAATTCAACCAAGTTATTCCCTCAGTCAGTGAGTAAATGACGTAATGATGCTCTTATGTGAACAACAGCATCAACACTGATGAGTAAACCCTGATAATGTTTAAAGACCTTACTTTTGGAATGAATAAATGTGGAATAAACTAGGTTTTTTAAACCACTATCAATTTTTTGAATAAACTGTAGAGCAGAACAACCATAAGTATACATCTTTTCAGTCTTCTTCTTTTCAACCTTTGCAGACTATAGTCCAGAACCCTGTGCTACAGTATCAACTGATCTCTTATTGTAATTTATGTATTAAAAAACAATATTTCCTAGATTTTTTGGTCACCTACATTCCCTTCTTTAATCAAACATTGTTTAATATGTCCTATGCATCAAATATAATATCATGTATCATGAGTAATATCATATTCTAGCAATATGATATATAATATTATCATAGTATCAATTTGATGCATAGGTCATATTAAAGGAGCTTGCCAACCAAGAGGAGAAACAAAATTTACCCAAATGAACAATAAGAAGCAATAAACAACCAAGTTTTAAAGAAATAAGTTCTCATTTTAGCTGCTTGTCTCACACTGATAACAAAAACCTCATTATGCCCAAGAGCCTGGTATGCACATCTGAGAAATTTAAACTTTATTCACCTTCCGCTATCAGATCTCTACTTATACTCCGATGTTTATTCCCACAGAGTTGCTTTTAAGGACACTTTCAGAAGGCTTCAGTTCAACAAATACTAAATTTATTGTACCAGTCACCTTGCCAGTTAGTTTGGAGGATTCTGAGATGAAAAAGACATAGGCCCTGCCCTCAAGGTGCTTTATTTGAGAATGGAAAGAGTAGGGGTAGGTTGGGAGTTAGACGAGTGTTCAAATGACTATACTGTAGGTGGAGTAAGTTAAGGATCACAGAGGAAGAAAGTCAAAATGTGATGGTGGAAAACAAGAGTCTCTCAACACAGCAGAAAAAATAGTAGTAAGAACTTTCTATGTATTAGGTAGTAGGGAAATAAAAAGGCAGAGAACATAGCTATTCACAAAGTCTTCAAAGAAATAACATCATGTCAGCTTTCAACTTACTGTTACAAAGCACCATTTCATATCTTTGAAAGGCTCAAGAAAGTCAGCAGTGTGTTTGGTAAAACTTTCCTACCCACTGTCTGAGCTCAGGATGCTGGGCAATTGTCCCTCTTGTTTAAGACTTAAGTACAGATGGTCCCTGACTTATGACAGTTAGACTTAATGATTTTTCGACTTCATGGTGGTACAAAAGCAATACACATTCAGTACGCTCCTTGACTCACTATGGGGCTATGTCCAGACAACCTCATCATAAGCCAAGGACCACCTGTATTTTAGGGGAAGCAGACAGCTGGATGGTTCTCTTCTGTTTCTGAGGTTGGCGACTGCTCCTGTCAGAGCACTGCTGATGGCTCATCTATGACACTTGCCCCTGTCCCCTAGTGTATGGCGGTACCCAATTTCTCTTTGACTTGCTGATATGATTCCCAAGTCAATTCAGTGGATCAGCTCTCTGTGGTTTGCATAGTAAGACCACAACTTGTTTCATGCTTTGGGTGGATACTTAAACTGCAAACTTGAGTCTCTGTCTCTGTAGGGTGTGTTAATCCAACTGACACGGCAGGTCAGCCTTGGAGGCTCCTGAAGGAAGCTGACAGGTCTAGGAGTCTTGACCCTGTTCTCTGAGATTCTTATTTAAGAAGAAATAAGCAAGAGCTTTTTAAATGCTCCCAGGTGATTCTCATATGTAGGCAAATCTGAGAGGCACAGAGTGCTGTCCGTGGAAGCCTCTGGGTCCTGGGAACCCTTTCTGCTGTGGTTCTGAAAGAATGGACTGCTCCTCTAAGGTAAGAGGCCTAGCTTTACCAAGCCCTATTATTCAAGGGAGAATCGGCACGAATATTTTGGTATCAGTTTGAAAATATTATGTAATATTTTACTCACAAGAGCAGTTTGTTAGTTTCCCTCAACCCTTCACTTGACAAATATCTCTTGGGCAGCTTATGGCAGCCACTGTCCAAGGTTGATAGGATGTAGCCATGAGAAAACTCTCCTCTGATAGCAGAATTCTACATAGTATGGTAGAAAGAACATAGGCTTTGAATCAGAAAATCTTCCCCTGACAGCAAGCACCCATTTCTATATGTGTGAATGAGACTATTTTGGACCCTGCAGCCCCAGTCAAATGTCAGATGACTGAGGCCAACTGAGTGATCCCCAATAAGACCAGGAGAACCACCCACCCAATACTCAAAATTGTGAGAGACACCAGGCCACTGAGTTTTGGGGTAGTTTGTTTTGCATCAATACATAACTGAACAGAGACCAAAGCTTTTGTTTTTAACCACTCTTCTAGAAAATGTATATAAAATACATAATATATCCCTTGGCACATAATAATATGCATTAAATGGCCATTCTCATCATAGTTATTATTTGGTCAGGAGGCAAAGCATGCATACTCAAAGAACTCACTAATGGCAATGATGATAAATGACAATGGGTTAGACAAACATGCAGTGGGAATCTAGGGTCCATTCACTGTGGGCAGGAAGGATAGGCTAGTATTGGAGCAAGCCCTTGAAGGATGCAGACATTTGAGAAAAAATCCCATTGTCCTGCAAAACTTTGCCTGGCTCAGCTTATAGTTGCTAAACTTGTAACCACTGCCCACTTCTCTTTATTGTTCCTTATGTTATTAATGTGAAAGAACATGAGCATCTGCTAAGCACTCCCCAAAGTCACAAAATTCTATTAAAAAACAAGAGAATTCTATTGAAAACAACTGCCACGGAAGGAGAAAGTTTAAACAGAACATAGGCAATTACCAGAAGACCTGTTCCCTGGGTTCCCTTGGCTGGCTTTCTGGGAGGTGCTGGCATATGAGTCAGTGTGCAATCTTATGACAGGGAGAGAGGTCATCAGAGGCAGGATATTGCTTTTCTTCGGGGAAAAAATAAGGCAGATCAACATAAAGTCTTTTAAACTGTCTCAGTAACTGGAAGGATCTTGAATTTTTAAAACATCTTGAAATACTTTAGAAAGGGTTTCAAGTTATCACAGTTTTGATAGTGCCAAGAGGTTAGTCTAAGTGCCATTACCTTTGAAAGAAACTAAAAAAAAAAAAAACACCAAAAGATAATTTAATCATCAAATGGCAATTTGGTCCAATAAGCAGGAGTAAGGCAGTATCAGCATGAATTTCAAAAACCTGCTAAGAGCTATAAATATAGCCTGCAATATTTTGCAATATCTAAATGTTTGGCCTAATGTTGAACATGCTCCATTGTTCAAACCAGCTGTGTTCTTTCACTCTTTCATTTCTATAAAACTGGGATAAAGGCTGTCAAAGCAAACGCGGCAGCGGCAGCAGCAGACTTTCTTGTTGAAAAGTTCTGTGTACATAGTACATAGCAATCTCAAGATGGAACTTTGAATGTTTCAAACCAGAACAAAATCTTCATCTAATTATAAGTGAACTATATTAAGCACAAAAGGCAATTTCAAATTATACTGAAGAAAGTTACATTTTACTCTTTGCTTTCAAAATGCATTTATCGCAATTTCACAAACTAATTGCAAATTCATTTTGCTTAATTTTCTTAGGTTATTTCTTTTATTGCTTCCAAGTGCTCTGCGTATTTCTGAACCATGAAAACCCATAAGGGAGATTTAGAGGGGCTTTTATTTTTTGTTAATTTGTATTTAAAATTGTAGAATAGGAAATGAATCTTTTTTTTTTCATTTCTTATTCTTGGATTAATGTGGTGACCACTAAACCAGCTCCAGTTATTATAGACACATTCAAAATAGAGGGAAAAATGTTACCAGCGAGGAGCACATTTGAGAGACTGGACTTGGAGAAAGCCATTACAATTTTAGAGACAAACTCAAATGGAATTGTATGTAACTGTCTTCCATTCATACCTATATGATTGCCCACCTTAGTATAAACTTGCCTGGGCTTTTAAACCGAGACAGCTATCCATTTTCTATGAAGGTTGATTACCCACTATGTAGATTAACTATGGCAAATGGTTCATGGAAGACTGGACTATTTTGCTCTGTTTATTGTCATTCTAGTTTGTCTCTCCCAGTTACATGCTTTATCTAGGATAAAACAATTCTAAACTATAAAACGACTGCATTCCAAAGTCAAATACAAGTTGCTACATTAAAAAAACTGGGGGATTAATTTAACCTCCTCTGGTGCCATTGGGTTACTGGTCTCTTGTACCATTTGCAGGGATGGCAGAGAATGGCCAGTGTGCAGTATGTGCGGTTTCGTTTCAGTAGATTCACAGACAGAGCACATTTCTGGTAGGGTTGAATTCGTAGTTCAACATAGATTTTATTCATGGGTGTCTTATGTTAGAGGGAAGTATCAACCCCAATAGAGTCTGCACTCCTCTCTTTGGTGTGTGTTGTGCCTGTGGAGGAAGAAAGCATGGGGCAGGAGGTGTGGCGGTTTGGGGGTATTAGTTCTGTATTTCTTCCCTGCATTGGGGCAAATAAGAGACCTTCTGTAATTGGATTTCTAGGCCCATATGTTTATTATTATTACTTTAATTTCCTGTGGCTAAGTAAATTGTTTATGTGCTTGTTAATTAATTACCCCTGAAAAATAGGAAGTAGATGCGCTTCTTTCCGCACTTTGTAAATTTTAGCAATTTTTGCTTGAGGGGAATGTCATTAAATTGTAATAATAACCTACATTTACATAGCACCTTCAATACTTTCATACTAAACGAACCTAAAATACTTTGAAATTCCCCTGAATAGATGTTAAGAGCTATAGATATCTTTCCTTAAATGTCCTGAAATATCATCTTGCCTATAATTAAAATACAGTCATTCTTAAAATATATCCATGAAAAATGGAAAGTATTATCTGCTTGGTTGGAGCTGGGATTAACCAAGGATTTTAGATCTTAAGTTTAAAGATATAGAGATCTAATTCACAATTACCTTGGTCCTGGGTTGCCACAGTTGCTTGGCTTACCTACTTATGGCCAGCTGGTCTACCTCATATCATAGAAAACACTCTTCTCATTCTTTTTTTTTTTTTTTTTTTAAATAGGGTGACTTGATCCTCCCCCCAACTCTCACCTCAGCTTAGTTGATAGCCAAAATTTATCGCTCTGTTCTTAATGAGCGACTATTGGCTTCTCAGGTTTTTGCTGAAAATATAATCTCAAACTTTCTGTCGCCCAACTCTTACCAAATGCTCACAGCTGAAAGAAATAGTGTAGCTTGAAGGCTTGAAGAACAGAATGGCTTGAAGAGTTTCCATATTGCTCATTTCTCCAGATATTTAAACATTTTCCAATAGGATCAGTTGAGACCACAAGAGAGCTGGATAATTTGAGCATCTTATTTTACCCTCCCAGGAGATTTTTTAAGAATTTTATTTACTACTTTTTCTTCTCAAGAATGATTTTGGACAGCTGTGCAAAACCATTGAGCTGTGCTTTGCTGTTGTGTCATCCTCTAGACTGACAGAAGTTGGGAAGCAAAGTCACATGAAATTTGCTCTATTTGTCTCAGGTGCAGCACACAATGTTCTCTTGATGTGGACCCCGGGGAGACATTCCTCTCTGATCTCAGTACTAGGAAAGGCCTGGTCTCTTGATAGCAACTGTGTTATTTTTATATAATAGACACTATGAATCATGTCATATTTTCCTTTGTTTGGCTGCTCACAAGCTCACAGCCACATTTGTAGCCCACCTCTAGGAGCTGTGCAAACTTTATAGCCTGTATTTCTCTGTGCTAATCTTTCCCCTGGCTTTCTATCGTTTTTATACTCTTTTTTAAATACTCGACCCTCACTGCCTCTTATTATTTTAGCATGATTTACTGTATTTATTTTTGAGTCTATCTCATATCCTTTTCAGAACACAGAGCAGTAGGTATAAATAAGCAAGTAAATAGTAAGAAAAAGTATTCCATGGATCTCCAAGTGTGTCTCGATCACTCCACTTATAGGCGAGACAGAGCACTTTCAGCCAGTGCTGCCAGGCTGTGTGGCATTCACAAACCCTATCCTTGGCCACCTCAGGCTTCAGTCATTGTGGCAAGATGTTTTCTACCCAGCTGTCTAAGAGGAAGAGGTGCTCTGGGGCCAAGTAGGTGAATTCCAATCTTCTCCCTTCCCTGTTGGATACCAAAATTCTTGAGGAACATAATAGGATATTCGGAGTGAATCCAGCTCCATAAATCCTCTAATGAAGAGACCACGAGAAGCTCAGAAATGCTTGGTCTGCATGGCTTATGGCTCAGGCCTTCCAAATGGAAGGCAATCCTCAGGTAGGAGGAAGGAGGCAGAGCCAGGCATTAGATACCCCCATTAGGTTGGTATCTTAAGGGGGTATCCCTTAAGATGGGAGAGTGAGAGGTGGCTTCCTAGTGGAAGAGAGGACTTGGGTGGTTATAACAGTCTCCAAGGACTCTTTAGACATGGTTTAGGCAAAACAATTGCCACCAGGGTTCCTGAGAATGTAGGAGGTCCCAAGAAATGTGGCAGGAAATTTTAGAGGGCAGGGGTCTCAGATAGTTGGAAGCTAGAAGGTTCATCATTTTTAGAACCGCTGAGCTGGAATTCTGTGAAATGATTTTTTTTTTCTCCCTTTCACGCCTGGCAAACATTTAAACCTTTTGAAACCATATAAGTTTATGCAATTGTTTCTTGTTTGGAAGGCGATGCTGCCAAGTTGCAACCATGGAGCCAAAAATTTGCCCTGGCACTGCCCATGTCCTCATTCCTGCCCTGTACTAGGGTTCTGGCAAGAACCTGATTGGGAATTTTCTTTTCTTTCTGGAGTGTGAAAAATGGGAGGTAGCCAAGGTAAACAGAAATGAACTTAGATAAAAGTTGTATTTCCTTACAGTGACTCTGTTCCCAGGTGTGAGGTTTTGTGCATCTTTGAGAACTAACTTTATTGTTAACAATATGGACAAAGAGAAGGACTACACACCATCTCTGACTATCTTATCAGCTTCTGCAAAGGTAAAAGACAGGGCATTTTAGAGATGTAAATTATTTGCTAGAGGTTATGTGGGAAGTAGAGTAACTGGGATTGGGACAATGAGAAACGTTTTGAATTTTCTGAGAAAAGATGATAAGATAATAAAAGCTGATATCAATCTAGAAAGTCTGGCTAGAGCAGAGAATTCCGCTGCCTAAGCTGATCAGGCATGCTTTTCAGCCCTCTTGTGAATTCCAAGTGACAGTGGGGAGAGGAGGCATCTGCTCTCCAAACATGACACAGTCATGGCAGTAATAATGACAGAGCCTGTAGATAACGCTGTGCCAACTGCAGGTCAATGAGAAGCCAGTGCAGGTCTGCAGTCTGCACACCTGGGGCTGGCTGGAGGCCTTTGGCACTGTTTCCTGTTTACATGAGTCAGAACCCAGATATCCTCTGGCTTTCTGCCTGATTTTTGAGTCACCACCAGCTTGGAGGGGCCAAGTGAACTGATCTCTCTGGACTATACTAAGGAGACTCTTGGCTTTGACCATGGTCACAGATCTCTCTGTGCCCAGCCTTCTTCTAGTAGCATCATTCGACTTAACTGTTTATAACAAGATTTCACTTAAACAAGCTCCCCTAGTTACTTGAGATAAACAGCACAGAGGGAGAGAGAGAACCGAGGAGAGTAATAGAAAAATGTGTGCTTTTAGCTGAGACTTTCAGCTACTCATTTTGATTTTCAAAATAGCTCCCATTTCTGAATTCTGAATTTCTGAGAGAAAGATGGCAAATCTAATGATTGCCATTTAGGCTTTCCAGTGGCTCTTCGGTCCTGAAAAATAAGAATTGGAAGGGCAGACACAAGATTGGGGCCAGTCAATTTGGGTTTTTCTCCTCCCCATTATGGCCACTACGCTGGTGTTATTTGGTATGGGTGTGCATGTTCTGCATCCTCATGCCTTGCTTTAAATCCCAGAAAAGGATGGATGAAAAATTCTTCCCTTTGCTCCTGTTGAAATTATTTCAGTACAGAGTAACATAACCTCCTGTTTTAATCTTCCATTTAATTGATATTTGAGTGCCTACTTTAGGTAAGGCACTGTGCTAGGCACACAAACCTTGTGAAGATGAATGGAATGGTTCTTGCCTTAAAATAGCTTTCAATTAACCAAGGAAACTGTAACATATGCTCAACCATCTATAATATTTGGCTTGCTGTGACACACGCATTGGAAAAGTTGGAAGTAAAGCTCTGAGGATGTCCAGAGAAGCCAGAGGACATTTTCATTGAGAGGTGAGAAAATGTTTTCTTAAGACTGTAGCTTTTATGGCTGGGCCTTGAGAGACATATAGAATAGAATTTTACAGTTAGAAAGGAGGAACGAGGTCATTATAGTAACAGCAGTGAGCTACGGCCATGACTGGGTTCAGGAAACAGACACTGGTCCAAGTGTAGGATACATAATATAGTAATCATTAGGTTATCTTTAAAATGATTTGTGGTTTTCACACTTTTGGCCCATATGTTATCTGTTTGATCTTTATAACAACTTCATATGGTTGGCCTATGATTATTGAGGATAAAGTAAATAAATATATTCCTACTTAGCAGGCAGCAGGGAGCCACACAAAGTATTATTCAGGGAGTGGTGAATCTGAGTTGGGTATAATGAGGGCAACTCAGCAGCAAGGATCTTTTGTAGGCTGGACTGAAGTGGGAAAAGTTGGAGGTGGGAAGATCAGTTTCGAAGGTGCAGTGATAGTGTAGGCTGGGAGTGAGAGAACACAAAGGAAGAGATGGGAGAAGACACATTCCCAAGGTTGAATTGCAGGTCAATAGAAAGTGGTTTGAATGACTCAAAAGCTATTTTATGAAATTCTCTGCTCTGACCGTCCCTTAGTTCGAGTTATTTTCTCTTTATTTGTATCCTCAGAGGATTCTGGTAACTTTATTTAGCACTTCTTCCTGTCTCATTTTATTGTTGTTTACATATCTGATACCCGGATTAGGTTATTAGGTTGTAAGCTTCTGGAAGCTAAGGATGATGTTACTTATCTTTGTCTTTCCTCCGGGGAAAGTATATAGCACGGTCACTTGAACATAACTAATGTTTAATAAATGCTTGCAGTATTTAACTCCAGTTTGGCAGTGAAAGACAAAATGAGAGCTTAACGCAGCAGGGTTGCAGGAAAGGGTTTATTTATTTAGTTTCAGAAACAAGTGAGATACAGTGGAAAGAACATGCAAGTTGGAATGAAACTTGGTTTAAATCCTGGCACTACCCATTTATTTCGTACATGACGTCGGCCAAGTTACTTAATGTGTTTAAGCATAATTTCCTCTCATACAAAATGCCAATTATAAAATCGACCTTTTGAGGTTACTGTGAAGACTAAATACAGTATCATGTGCATATTATCTAATACAATATCTGGCACATAGGATATCTTCAACAGTGTTAGTTAAAAGTCCTGTACTGATATAACCCCCTGGCTTGAGTATGTTCCTAGACAAAAGGGGAAAAGAACAAGAGATGGAATTCATAAGAGAAAGGAGAAATAATATAACAAGATTCAATAAGATGGAGTGACGGAGGAAGAAAGACGGATGCTGCTTCCCTTTAAGTGTGTGGGAGGGAGAAAAGGAATCATGAACATTTAAAGAAATTCTGTCAAGTGAAAAAGAAGGGTTCTAGGAACACCAGTCTCAGAAAAGCTGAAAGAAAGATGAACTGCTGGGGTAAGATGTGAGAGGGGATTTAAATGGGGTTGGGTACTGGAAAGTGGGAGACAATATGTGGAGCAGCTGCTATGGAAACTAGGGCAGGAATCAACAAAACCGGAGAAGAATTCTTAGAAGCAGGAAAGGTCAGTGACGCCTGGATGGCATGAGTTTGGAATTTATGCAATTAGCAAAGCATCAAAAAGCATGAGTCCAAAATGTCCCTGGCCAGTTCCATTTATGGAGTTCTTATCAGTGCTGTGCAAGCCATTGAGCTGCACAGATGGGCTCTCAACCAGTGGTGGGGACACAGTAACAAACAGAGCTGGAAATACACACACACACACACACACACACACACACACACACACACACACACACGTATTCTATCAAATCAATATATACATAGACATGTATTCTATCATATCAATATATATGTATTCTGTCAAAGAAGGATATGTTGATATATTCTGCCAAAGAAACAGATTGGCTTACCCAATCTAGTGCTATGTTAAATAAGCTTTTTATTTTATATATGGAAAAGACTTTAGAGATTATATCAACCCAACCTTAGGTGTAAGAACTCAGCGTAAGTGACTTACCAGCAATTATTTTACCAGGAAACAGTGTGGTATGATACTTAGGAGTGTGACCCTGGAATTTGACTTTTGGAGTTTGAATCCCAGTTGTGTGACCTTTGGCAAGTTTCCTAACCTGTATAAAATATATTCAATTATAAAGCATGGATACTAATACCATCATCCTCATAGGATAGTTGTAAGGATTAAATGAAATCATCTTTGTAGCATGCTTAGTCTGATGCCTGAGATGAGATGTCACTGCATAAAAATTATTTAGACTCAGGTATCTTGATTGTTGTTCATGATTCTGTCTTCTACATGGGGCTGCCTTGTTGACTGATAGATTTCCCTGAGGAATGGCTGTGGATAACTGCCATTGGATGCAAGTTTCTTTGGGTACAACTCTTTTCTTTATTAGCCATACTAAATATATTGGGCCCATCTTCCTTATGAATTTACATATTTAACCCTTGACACACCAATTTCTTTTCATTGTTCCTATTGAACTTACACAGTGCCCTCACAATCAGTATGCTCTTGCTTGAAATACTTGTAATGAATTATCTGTATATAGTTTACGAAACTAGCCTCATTTTTTTTACAGCCATACAGTTTTTACAACCACTGACTTTTGAAGATTAATCTCATAACTTTTTTTTTTTTTTTTGAGACAGAGTTTCGCTCTTGTCGCCCAGGCTGGTGCGCAATGGCATGATCTTGGCTCATTGCAACATCTGCCTCTTGGGTTCAAGCAATTTTCCTGCCTCAGCCTCCTAAGTAGCTGAGATTACAGGCGTCTGCCACCATACCTGGCTAATTTTTGTATTTTTAGTAGAGACAGGGTTTCACCATGCTGGCCAGGCTAATCTCAACTTTCTTAATGAGAATTCTGTTAAATAGGGAACACTATTAAGCATATTAAGCATATTTTTTGTACAAGGAAACCAAGGAACAGAGAGGGTCAGTGAGTTTGCTGAGGCCAAACAGTGACAGAAACATGGAGCACAAAGCATGGATTATCCATAACTTGGCCCATTGGTGTGGCTTCTCCTCCCATTATACCCTCAAATCACCACGAGCTTTTCTAGAGACATTTTCTTTGGCCTCATGGTATTGCATATATGCTTGAGATAGACCATAAAGCACCAAACTATCCTTTTTAGAACCCAGAAATCACGATTCCCTTTTTCTACCTCTACCTTCAATTTTTGTGGCAATGGAAAAAGAATTCAAAATCAGGCTGAGCAAGTCCATTTGGGTCTTAGGAAACAAGTCAATTGTTTTTATTTTCTCTACTCCCAAGATACTCTGGGGTTGGTACACAGCAGCCTGGAAAAGAGAAGCATCCATGGGCCATCTCATTTCTGACTCAGTCAGCCAGCTGGGTGTTGAGACTATTTCCATGGCTTCCAATCCGTCAATGCTTGAAAACATTTACTACGGAAAGGATCGCTGGCTCGGGGAAGACATTTGTCTAATTCGGCAACAGTACTTTACACTGCATTTCCAGATTATGCCTCTCCTTGAAAATGATCTATTACAGGAGCAGTTTATAAAATTAAACACTTGTCATTATGCAATGCAAAATTCATGAAGCAACCAAATGTCAGGGATCTACATATTTAAAAGATGGGAGCTTTAGCATTTCTTCCCTGGCAGGGATTCTGAGCAGTAAAAGGCCCAGAGAAAAACATAGCTAATCACAAAGCTGTTTTGGAATGGACCAAACCATTCCTTTTTGGGACTGTTAGTCCAAAGGGACCCTCTTTCTCTGGTGGAAAAATAATTGTCTACTTAATAATTATTTATTGAATATTTGTGTGCCAATCAATGTGCAAAGTACTGGGACAACATCAATGAATAGAAGCAGTGTCCTGGCTCTCATGGAGCCAACATTCTAATGAGAATGAGGTGAGAGAGGTAGGCAATAAACAAGTAAACAAATAAATGACATGAAAAAAAATTTTTTTTTATAATGTTCCCTCCCTACCCACACATCTTTTTTTTCTATTAGAGAAAAAGGATATCTATCATCTCAAACTACAGTAGCCTTTTTTGAATTGCCAGGGACAAGTTACTCATCTGTGAACTGTTAACACGGAGCAATTATGGGGTACAGGGTACCACTCTAGTTACAGACCTGCTGGAATATGATAGGGTAAAAAATAAATTAGCTATCTGCAAGAAACTTTCTTGGAAGAAATACAAAACACACTCTTGATAAAGCTGATGATCATGCTGTTAGAGCCCCCTTGTCCATGTTCTCTCCTATTACTTTGCTACTAGCTTTGGAGGATAGAGGAATAAATACTCATTCCTAGGTAATTTAAGCCCTTGCATAGGGGCCCAATTACCCATCCATTTGAAGCTCATAAAGAATACCCCTGGCCAATTCTCATGCCTCAGCCTCCTGAGTAGCTGGGACTACAAGTATGCGCCACCACATCTGGCTAATTTTGGTACTTTTTATTAGAGACAGGGTTTTGCTATGTTGGCCAGGCCAGTCTCAAACTCCTGGCCTCAAACACCTCAAGTGATCTGCCCACAATGGCCTCCCAAGGTGCTGGGATGTTCTCTCCCATTATTGCTTTTAGCTTTGGAGGATAGAGGAATAAATACTCATGGCCAGGTTTGGGCCTGTGATAGATACAGGAGCATTAGGCAACTTAAGCCCTTGCACAGGGGCCAATTATCCATCCATTTTAAGCTCATAAAGAACATCCGTGGCTACTCAGGAGGCTGAGGAATGAGAATTGCTTGAGCCTGGGAGGCGGAGGTTGCAGTGAGGTGAGATCGCACCACTGCACTCCAGCCTGGGTGACAGAGCAAGACTCTGTCTCAAAAAACAAACAAACACACACAAAAAAACAAAAGAAGACCACTTGCTAGA